>NC_000015.10:87198853-87350369 GCF_000001405.40 Homo sapiens
ACTGGGAGATCTTACATTGTTTTCTCGGCACTGGGTGCATGGCTGGACACGGAAGTTGAATGAGTGAATAAACAGTGAAACTACCAGCTACTTTTATTGTAATTTGTTCTCAGTTCAATTGTCAGGATGATAGAATATATGCTGCACTCAGAGCCCATCCTCTCAGTGAACTGACCACAACATGCTTTATTCCCTAAGTCAATGATTCTCAATTTAAAAAAAAAATTTAATTGGCACATAATAATTGCACATATTTATGGGATGCAGTATAATGTTCCAATACTTTCATACAATGTGTAATGGTCAAATCAGGGTAATTAGCATATCCATCACTTCAAACAGTTCTCATTTCTTCTTCATGTTGGGAACATTCAAAATCCTCTCTGCTAGCTATTTGAAAATATATAATAGATTGTTGTTAGTTCTAGTCAGCCTACAGTGCTGTATGACACCAGAATGTATTCCTCCTGTCTAGCTATAATTTTGTACCCCTTAACCTCTGTGAAACCTGAACCCTCAGTCCTTAAATTTTAGCAAGTGTCAGAATCACCTGGTGGGCTTGTTAAAGAACAGATTGCTGGGCCCCAGCCCCAGAGTTTGATTCTGCAGTTCTAGGGTGGGGCCAGATAATTTGCTTTTCTAACAAGTTCTATGGGAATGCTGATGCTGCTGGTCCTGGGACCACCCTGAATAACCTGTGCTCTAAAATGTATCTGCACATGGAATGTATCTTCCTTGATAATACCTCTTCCACTTTATCATGCTCTCTGGTTTCCAAGGTCTTACAAATCATTGCTCCATTTGATTGATGTAGTGACTATTGCTGTAATGGAAAGAGGAACTTGAAGACCACTGCCAGGTATTTACCCCAAGCTTGGGAAACCTTTCCTTTCATGCGCTTGAAGTAGAAAGTTTGAGAAAACAGATACAGTATGACCTTGAGAATGAAACACAATAAACAGAAAAACGAAAGAGAGAGAAAGAAGGAAAGAAAGAGAAAGAAGGAAAGAAAAAGAAGAAAGAGGAAGGAAGGAAGGAACCCTGTATCTAGATGGCAATTATGACACAGTGTTTGGCTTTTCCTACCTTCCTTTCAAAATCAATATGACAAAAAACTAAATGACAACATCCTAAGGCGCTAAGACAGTAATCAGAAAATGGTCACACTACAGCAGAAGTTACTCCTGTTTACAGTACCAGAGCACAGATTAGTTCAAAAATTCCTGCTTATGCCCAGTCCACTTAAACAGCCACACAGCCAGTGACACGAGAGGTAAGCCACGGTTTGCACCTACTCTTCCTGGAACCGCAGTCTCAGTTAACCTGGTATCTGTGCCAGCAAACAGGAGCCCTGGAAGTCACACTCCCACCATGTCATCATCCTCCACATAAAGTTTCCATTACCATGTCTACCTCTATGTCCAATTGGTATGAAAGACATAGGGTGTTCAAGGGAATAGGCAAGGGCACATTGCCCTGCATAGGTCAGGACAGAGGAAAGGAGAGCAGCAGGAGTAGGGAGCTGTGGAATGTAACTTTATACACCTTGTTTTGCAAAAGAACAGATGGAGATGGCTGCAGATTGCCCTGCCTTACTCCAATAGTACTGTTAGATTAATGTCTCTAAGATTTTAGTAGTCTGTTTAGGTGACACACACATATGCTCGTACTTGTACTTGCAAGGACATTCAGGAAATCCTTAGATTGACAGGAAAAATGGATCAAAATGAATAAATGCACACTGTTATTGGAAAGCTCCAGATCTAAAGAGATCTCTCTTTAATGAAAACAGGTAAACTGAAACAAAATAAAATTTAGGCAAAGATTCTGTAACATTACGAGGGTAAATGTCCTGAAAAATTTGGAGCAAAATCATATTTATAAAAAAATTATGTAAAACTTTTTAAGAATGCATTTGTTGGTGCTTTTGATAAAGGCCAAAAATCATGAATTCTGTGATAGCAGCATGAAGATGGATTTGGTTGAGATACAATTTGCAAGAGAAAAGAAGTTTACAGGAAGGTTTTAAATAGTAAGTGAAAATTTTAAAAATATAATTAAAAGATATATTGAAGTGTAGAACTGTAAAGAATAAAATTAACACAGTAGAAAATTAAAGCAGTAATGTAGATGATAAACTAGAGATTTAAGAATGGAGGGGGGAAATAACAAAAACTAAAAACACATAAAAGAAAATAAATGGCTGTAGGACTAAACAGTAAACATATTTATGTTTATTTCATTAATTTATTTTTTTCTTAGATTGTATGTGCCGAAAGTTAGAAATCCTTTGTATGTTGTTCACTATTGTTTTTCGAGCATCTACTACTCACTTATTATTTTTTTAAAGAAATGTTAAGAATGACAGGATATAAATAGTCACATATTAATAAATGACATCCTCAGGAAGGACCCAGAACAACTGAGCAAAAGTAATCACCAAAAAGCTAGCAGAAGAAAATATTATTAAACAAAAAAAGAACTGCTTCATGGTCTAAAATTACTGAAAAACAAAATAAGAAAATTTAAAGCATCAGTTAAAAAATATTGCAAGGATAAAGCAGTGAAATATTATTTTTAAAAAGAAAAAATGAAACCAGCCTTTGACTTTTTGTTTATAGCAATGTCAGCTGATAATAAATATCTAGTAAACTTTAAGAGAGAAATTGTTGCTATTGAAGAATTCTGTTCCCAGCTAACGTTTTCTTTTCATGTGTGATTACAAGAAGAAGCTATTTTCAGATATGTATGGGTCCAGAAAATACTTCATATATTAAAAAAAAATGCTGTAAGGCCTCCATCAGCTAGCTGTGAGATGAATCAAAAATAAAAACTCAATAGTGCAGTGGTTTTTTGATTCCATTTCATTTTTTCAAAGAAAATATTTATTTGTTTTTTCTAAATTACCAATTTCTACAATTATCTTTATGAATTTCTTAACTTTTTTATTATATACATTTTTAACTTCTTTAGTTGAAAGTGTGACATTCATTTAATTTTTGTCATGTTTTTGATAGTAATAAAAATCTTTGAAGCCGTGAACTTATCCCTGTCTATAGGTTTCAGTGAACTCCATTCATTTTAATATGTAATTATTTCATTATTGATACACTCTTAATATTCAGGAATTGTAGGTCTTTATTGCCTATGCAGATTCAAGAAAACAAGTTAAAAACTAGTTGAGTACATGTTGTTGTTTAATAGCTTTTTTGGAAAAACAGACTTCTTGTTTGTGTACTTTTAGGTTGATGCAACATGGAACAGAAGGTACAGAGCTTTCCCATAGCCCCTCTGCCCCTACACAAGCACCATCCCCCTCATGCTCAACATTTCCCACCACAGTGGAACATTCGTTACAACTGATGAAACCACATTGACTTTTCGTTCTCACACAAAATCTGTAGTTTATATCAGGGTTCATTCTCAGCATTGTACTCTGGCTTTGTTTTTAAGTACTATTTTCTTTTATTGTGGTCTCAGATGATTCTGTATATATATTTTTAACTTTAAAGTCATCTTTGGGGCAGGGTACGGTGGCTCATTCCTATAATCCTAGCACTTTGGGAGGCTGAGGTCAGGAGATTGAGACCAGCCTGGCTAACATGGGGAAACTCCTGAGGTAAGGAGTTCGAGACCAGCCTGGCCAACATGGGGAAACCCCGTCTCTACTAAAGATACAAAAATTAGCCAGTCTTGGTGGTGCATGCCTGTAATCTCAGCTACTTGGGATGCTGAGGCAGGAGAACCGCTTGAACCTGCGAGGCAGAGGTTTCAGTGAGCCCAGATCGTGCCACTGTACCCCAGCCTGGGCGACAGAGCAAGACTTCGTCTCAAAATAATAATAATATTAGTAATAATAATAATAAAGCCATCTTTATAATGTCATATATGAACCTTTTACATAAAATTTAAAAGTGTGCTTGATGGTCACGGCCATTCTAGGCTCACATCATAATATATCCATGACCAGAAAGAAAAGGGTTGATGTGTGAAGAAAGCAAAGACAGAAATGATAAAATTTTCCTTGATTGTAGTGGCTCTGTTTCTCATTGGTGTCCATGAGAAATTATTTAAAAACCTCTCAAATCATTCTGATTAGCCTCTCTGGAGGAAAACAGATGTAAGTGCCAATAAAAATGGATTAAGGGATCTAAGTACAATATCTAAGCACAGGCTGTTTCTGCCCTCAATGGTCACTACAATACACCAGTAGATGAGGTCATCTGTTTTTACCACATGTGCAGGGTTTCTCCGTTTTCTCAATTTTATAGGTATTCTGTTTAATCTGATATTCACAGATAAGTCATCTTATTAACATTCTTCATAACACACTTATTTTTTAATAACTCCTGTAAATCTTCATTAAGTTTTAAGTTATCTGTTTCTATGGGATTCGCCTGTGGAAGTGGGGAAAGGTGGGGAAAATAGAGGATAGCTACAGGGTTTGCTGCCCCTATTAAAGTCTAAACACTCCTGTCTTGGAAAAGCTATGCCTCACACATTTCCCAGAGTCACACCATGTGAGTCTTTGCCAAAGACAATTTCAAGTCAGCTTCATTGAAAAATGCACTCTTGTAAGATATGTGTTATATGCCCTTCAAAGCTCTTGGAACTGTACCACCCACCATCACTGCTATTCCAGGTCCCCCCCAACCACACACTTTTTTTGCAGAGCTTGGGATTCTCACATCTTCCCCTTGATAGTTTGACACTATCAGCTCCCTTATGTGAAGCCTCCTTCCTCTAGAGGGGTTGAGTATGAACTCTACTAATGATTGAGCCTGCCATTTTGGAACAGGACTGCCTTATGCTGCGGAGCTAGTTCCCCTTTCACTGGAAGAACCCAGGATAAACGCTTCACATTCCTGTGATGGGCACCAGATAGGGTCTGAGAAGGGCTAAGCCTGCCTGAAAGACCTAGAGTTCCTACTATGACTTATATAGGCTTACCTACACTTGCTCTGATTTCTTCCTTGCTAGATTTTTTGGGGAACAGAGAAGCTGAATCTCTTCTCTATCTCTCACTCTCTCTAAACCCCTTTCAACTTTAACTTATTTAAATTTGCTTCACAAAAGTTAGAGTGTCATAGAAACTCAAGATGTTTCTAATAAGGTCTTTGAAAGCAGAGTAAGCTTGCACAAATATCTGCCCAAACAGAAGGCTACAGCATAGAGACTAAGCATGCCTGGTAACTTCCAGAATGTGCTGGACTTTCTTTCTGGCACATCAAAGCCTACAAAGGCTCTCTGTCATATTAACCTGATATGACACCTGCTGCCAACACCAGGGACTTTGATGAAACTGATCTAGCGAGACTACTAATTATTTAGGAGATGGGCTGTATCCCACATTTGCAGAGTATTAGAGCTGAAATGGGGGAATCTGTATGTTTTAAGGAAGAGGACTATAATCTGGTATGTTCTAGCAAGATTTATTCTATGACATACAACCACACACAGGCATAAATAAAATGCTTTAGGTTTGAAGTATGGTGAAATACTTTAGAGGCAGCATGATATACAAAAAGTATTCATTAAGAAGTTTGAATATTGGCTCTTCTACATATGATCTTGGTGATCTTGAACTATTTACATAATCTGATGGGGGTCACATTTTTCACCCTTACAGTATACATAAAAATACATTTTTGGTGGCTGTGAAGATTAGAAATGCATGCATAAATTATCTAGCACCACAGGAGACTACCATTCTATTGGCACTTGTCAGATGTCCAGTAATGGTAGGTCATGTTGTGCTCCAATGGAAGTGAAGTCCTAGTGCATGTCAAACAATATTCATGTTGAATCTTTGGTGCTATTGTTTCCCTTCCAGATCTAGCACTTATATTTAAGCACAACTACACCTTAAAATTATGACTTTAAAATTTGTTTAAGCAAAGTGTAGAGACAAGTTTTGAAGACAAATGTCATGGTTTTTCTTTCTTCATTTTCATTCTTTGGCCAGGTATATGCTTCTTTTTATGGCTACCTGGGGCCTTAAGAAGGTCTTAATAAAATATATAGAAGAAAATATGCGTGTGTCCTGGAGCTCTGCTGTTTTGCTAAACCAGCAACCATTTATTCTTCTGTTAATAACAGTTCCCTGGTTTTCTTCAGGGAATTAATTTTCTCACTTTCTTATTCTAGGATGTTCGTGTAGCAGGCAAGGGGTTAGCACATGTGATACCTCTGGCCAATTAAAGTCTTTCAGTTCCCTGGCATTTGTTCATGGATAGATTTATTTGCTGGTCCAAACTGATGAGATTCAACACAGGACTTTGGTCAAAAGTGTTGGGAGCACTGTGAGGATGAGGAGAGTCTGTCACTGCTGGATTGAGCATGGAACTAACATAGAAGGGGAAAAAAGAAAGATAAGCAAGTAAAAGTATAAGACTGCATTCTATTAATAATAGCATGATTTGAGATGCTGGATCTAGCCATGCTTGATTTTTCATATATTTTTTTCTATGTTGAGTTGGGTTTTTATCAACTTTCAACTGGTGGATCCAGGTTTCATGTAGCCTGAGGCTCATACAATTTGGGATGTGCTTTTTAAGAAATGAGTACAAAATTATAAAAAGAAAAAGAGATAGAAAGTAATTATTTATTAAGAAATTGAAAATAAATAACAAGTAATAATTGTAAAGGACTGACAAATGTCACAGACCTTACAAAAACTAAATATAAAAAATATACTTTTAAATTAATATTTTATATAATGCTTTTTATTGCAAATTCATTTGACTTGTCCTGAGACACTGTTTTGGTATCATTTTATTCTAAAGATGGAATAGAATTGACATATCATCTGGTAGTTGATCACAATTTGTTTTTGTTTTAAATTTTTTATAGTCCAGAATTTTTTTTTTGAGACTTACAAACCATTACTGGCAAGGACATTATTGTTAAAATGTAGATTATTGTCAAACTTGAGAAAACTGTCAGGATTCTGTCACATACAAACTATAAGATTTTAGGGAATTTCAAGTTTTCCTATATAATCATCTGAGATATTATTTCAATTGCTGCAAATCACTATCCATTTTGTCCTAATTATTGTTGACATTCTAATTATAATGGTATAATATAAGTTTTATGTTATTTTGTCCATGTCAGTATTTCATGTCATATTAACAAGAAAATTGTTTATTTTCCAATGTGTTCAAATGATTATTTTTATTAATTGAATTATCAAGCAATCACAAAATTTATTTCTGATGAATTTATAAATTTATATGCTATATTATTAAGTATGTTCTTGACAAGAGCAAACTTTTGCTTTGACTAAGTATGGAAAAGAACCTCATTTCAACCATGGCTTTACATATATGATGATTGGAAGAATTTTCCACAGAGTAGCTTCTGGTTCTCTATATATCTAACCATGTTTCTCTGTCTTTACCATATATTTTGGTATTGAACACTTTGGGATTATATTTTAATATAATCCCTGGTCCCACAACTTTCTGCCATAATATTGGGTGAGTCAACATAGTGAACAGGAGAGGGGTTCCCAGAAGCCATTCCTATTAGGAGCTGGCTAACAGTCACCTGACTATAGACATAACCACAAATCACATAAATATATCTCATTAAACTCAACCTAAATTTAGCTGACTCCCAACATACCTGCAGCCACTCCAGTGCTATACAACAAGAGAGAAAGTATTGTGGAGGGTGGCATCAAGTAGAACTATGATAGTTTTAATTGATTTTGGTTAGATTGTTTAATTTTGCAAATTTTATAAAAATATATAATCAAGTTAAAGCATCACAGGCCCCCTCCTAGGGTTTCAGAAGTGACTCATGCAGGTGAGGATGCTGAAATTTATCCTTCATTAACTTCACTTAAAATTTACCTTTGCTGACATAGTATATAACTTGGGCACTCTGGGAAACTATTTTAGTTTTTGAGCCATGTTGACTCATGTTGATCAAAAACCAGAAAAACCTTTTGCTCGCTAACTGGGAGAGCTCAGGAAAAATCCAGAGCAATGACACCATGAACATGAGGCACGGTCAGTGTCTGTAATGTCCTGATGGCCTCATGACTCCTTAAACATTGATGCAATAATTTTTGACTTTTGTGAGGTTGTAATGGAGGAAATATCTCCCTACCTCAAATCAAAGACTGCTTAATGCTGTTTCTTTGACAGCAGCCCTAAGAGTCATTTTTTGGGAAAGCAAGAGAATTTCCTTCTTTGTCAACTTCAAAAGATTAGGCTTCCTTGTCTAAATATCCCTGATATCCCATTATTGTCCTTCCAGACCCTGGCTTGTGTTCTTAGGGACTGAGTGACTTACATCTGCCACGCTGAAAATTAATGAAAGACCTTGGATCATATAAGATCAAGGCTAATAACAGGGGATTTAAAGGAGCTTTTTCCTAGGTCAGAGTAGGTCACATGCCAAGAGAGATTTATGCTGGTTTAACCAGTGAAGAGAAATTGAGGATTAGATTTTCAATTTGAGAAGTCAAACAAAGCTGGGGGAATTTAATTGGCCATTCGACATGTGTTTCATTGGTTACCAGCCATCTCTAGATCTGTCTGTTTTGTGGAAATAAGGAGAGGGAGTGAATCTTGATAATTCCCAATTCACCTAATCAGATTATCATCCTTGTCTGAATGCAAACTGACAGGTGGAAGACAGACCTGTAACTGGAGTGCATTTAGTCAGGGCTCCAAGTCTTCCCACTGGCTTGTTCTCCAAATGGCTCTTTGGATAAGTTAATGAGCATAGAGTTGAAAGGCTGGAGGTCTGCATATGGCAGGGGCCTGGCATCGGCTTGGCATGGTTCTGTAGAGGAACCTTGTCAGTGCAATCACCTGTAGCAGAGGCATAGAAATCACCATCTGCCCAAGCCTCACTCAGTTCACTGGGAAAGATTAGAAGATATGACTTCTGGAGTCCCAGATGGATCCTTCAACACTCAGGTGCAAAGCTGCTTCCAGAGAAACTGCAGGAGACATGGAGCAGATGGGCCCTGGACCTACCACTACAGTTTCCTGCCTTAAGCATTCTAATTATTGCCTTGTTCTGCCTTGAGTATAAACCAAGTTAGAACAAACTTTAGCATCAAACAGACCTAAGTTCAATTTTTCTAGTGATGGGAGTTTAGGCAACTTACTTAATCACTGTCAGCCTAATTTCCTCATCTCAAAAATGGAGGATTACAAGTATGCTCTTATTTGTATTGTTCTGAGGATTAAATATGGTAAAGTGGATGAATGTGTCATTTACTAGGCTGGGCTTAGTGTGGCACTCAGAAAATGTTTCTTTGTGGAATCATATTACTCATATCCATTAGTACTTGGAGGAAAATAGGCCTGACTCACTTTCTGAGCCTGTTCATGACAAACATCCTATAATCCATGGTAACACTATGCTAAATATTAAAATATTTTCTACTTTTAAAGAATGTGAAGGCAGTCTTTGTAGGGATCTGATTCAATGTTCCATCTTCAATAAGTTTCATGAGATGAGACTAAGAGATATCAGAGCCTCTCTCAAACCCAGCCATGATGCAACATTGACTGACATTTGTAAGATTAGAATCATTTACAAAGCTGATAACACAGGGTTTCCAGCAGTTTGTTGCTTGGGCAACTGATTTCATGTATTCATAGTCCTAAAAATGAGTTGCTGTGAAATACCAGTAGAGAAAAATGGGGCCAGTTCTTTGGGCTGGGCCCAGAACACTAGAGGAGTCTACATAAGAGCCATCCCTCCTAGGGTAGCCCCTAGTATTATGCTATTTAATTAGAAAACTCATTATTTGGAATAAAAGTACTCCCTAAAGTGGGTTAAACATGTCAATCATTTTAACTTTTAATCTCATTCTTTTAATTGGGATGATACCTTAAGATCCATTTACTCACAAAAGTCAGCCTATTCTCTTTTTTTTTTTTTTTTTTTTGATGGAGTCTTGCTCTGTTGCCCAGGCTAGAGTGCAGTGGTACTGTCTCCTCTCACCACAATCCCTGCCTCCTGGTTTCAAACGATTCTCCTGTGTCAGCCTCCTGAGTGGCTGGGATTACAGGCACATGTCATCACACCCAGCCAATTTTTCTATTTTCAGTAGAGATGGGGTTTCACCATGTTGGCCAGGCTGGTCTTGAACTCCTGACCTCAGGTGATCTACCTACCTGGGCCTCCTAGAGTGCTGGGATTACAGGCGTGAGCCACTGCTCCCAGCCAAAAGTCAGACTATTCTTACTCAAACCTCATACCTTTGCTGTTTTTACCTGAATTGAGTTTAAGTCAGTTACCCTTAACAAATATTTGCTAAGCACACACTGTATTCCAGACAAATGCTAAGAAAGAATGGTAAAATGAAAACTAAGAACTTGGCCTTTTACTCAAGGGAATACCCACTTCATATCTAGTTTGTGACAGATTAAAATAATTAATTGTGATACAATGAAGTAAGTGCGAGAGTAGAAGTATTTTATTAATAATTTATTAGGAATATTTCTAAAATCTGAGATTATTTAATGTTTCTCCATGATAGAGTTGGATAAACTTCTGGAGGAGACATGTTTTCTGTTTTTCTTTTTAAAGTAAATAGCAGTTACCTGTAATCCCATCACTTTGGGAGGCCAAGATGGGAGGATCACTTAAGGTCAGGAGTTCAAGACCAGCCTGGCCAAAATGGCGAAAACCCCATCTCTACTAAAAATACAAAAATTAGCTGGGCGCGGTGGCGGGTGCCTGTAATCCCAGCTACTCGGGAGGCTGAGGCAGGAGAATCGCTTGAGCCTGGGAGACGGAGGTTGCAGTGAGCTGAGACTGTGCCACTGCACTGCAGCCTGGGTAACAGAGCAAGATCCTATCTCCAAAAAAAAAGGTAAATAGAAGTTTTCCATGGGAGTAGAGGATGGTTATTAGCAGGGTTTTTGTGATTGATAAGGTATTGCAGCAAAAGAGAAGAAACAAACCAAGTTTTTGTGTTTACCTGATTGATGAGGGTACAATAGGGATGAGAGTGATAAAGCTAGGGAATGCTGCAGAAGAAATGGAGAGAGAATTTGGAGCTGCACAGAGAGCGGGGTGCTAGTTGGGTTGGACATCAGCACAGAGATCAGGGCAAAAGACAGACAGTTTTTCATGAACTGTAGTGAGGTAATATTTCAAGCCAGGTGTTTTTCTTGGGAGCCAGAAAAACGTGAATTTGAGTTTCCAGTCCATTTTATAGAATACCAAGCTGCTTTAAAGCCTCAGGCTAAATGTGAATCACAAAACTATCCTCATAGTTTTGCTATGAGGATGCAATAAGGTAGTTAACACAAAGTGTGTTGTACCTTATCTGGCACATAGCAAGAACTTGTCACATCAAAGCCATCCTTCAACATAAGCTGGCAGAAGGAGACATATTTCAGGAGTTCCCTGGAAGGGTTGCAGGGGGATCCATGACATGTAATGTGTATTTGCACTTGCCTGAGGAGATGGAGCACTCTTTTTATTACATTCTCCAAAGTCTGTCACTCAAAGAAAAGATAAGTACTAATTCCAAAGAGTGCAAAGAAAAGACAGCAAAGAATGAATGTTGAAGGATCTCAACATTTTAAAAGCAGGACGAGGAGCAGGAAAGCTATGAGAACACAAAGACAATTCATCAGCATTGTCAGTTCTGCTTTCAGGTGATGGGTATATGCCTACAAATCACTGTGTGTAATAGACAGAAATCTGGCCCCATGACCTTCACCCCTGGTATGAATATGTCATGTTACATGGCAAAAAAAAGACTTTGCAGACACAATTAAGGAGGGATTTATCTTGGATTTTGTGGATGGGCTGAAAGTCCTTACATAGCTCCTAAAGCAGAATTTTCTTCCAGCTGAGGTCAGAAGAGGAAATCAGGGAGATAGAGCGAAAGGAGAGAATAGAGAGATTCAAAGCAAAATAAGAACTTTGCATGTTGTTGCTGGCTTTGAAAATGGAGCTGGCCTATGAGCCAAGGCATATGGGTGGAACCACTAAGAAAACAACCAAGGGAATAGGGAGGACAGCCTGCAATTATCCCACAACCTGAATAAGCCTGGAAGTGGATTCTCCTCCAGTACCCTCTAGATAAGAGCCCTGCTTGACCAACAGCTTGATTTTGGCTTTGTGAGAACTTAAGCAGAGAACCCAGTTGAATCCAGTCAAGTCACACTGTGAGTGGGCATTTGACTCACAGCAACTATGAGAGAATATATATATATATATGTATATATATATTTTTAGACACAGTATCTCACTCTGTGCCCAGGCTACAGTGAAGTGGCCCGATCATGGCTCACTGCAACCTTGACCTCCTGAGCTCAAGCAATCCTTCTCTTTCAGCCTCTCGAGCAGCTGGGACTACAGGTGCATGCCACCATGCGAGGCCAATTTATTTTTATTATTTTTTAGAAATGGGGTCTCACTAGGTTGCCCAAGTTGGTCTCAAACTCCTGGTATCAAGTGATCCTCTCACCTTGGCCTCCTAAATTGCTGGGATTACAGATGTGAGTCACCATACCTGGCCAATTTGTGTCGTTTTAAGCAGCCACTTTTGAGGTTCAGCAGTAACCGAAAACTGATACACTCCAGCATGCAAAATTGTGCAACAAAAACTGCAGGGACCAAGAGGAAAATACTCAAAAACTTGACACTGACATATAAACAAAGAAATTGAGAGAAATCTAATAAAAATGGTAGCAGTTTTACATATATGAAGTGATTAAGAAACACATAAATACTGCAATAAATACTGCAATAAATACAGCATTTTACCTTGAAAAAGTCCTGAAGTTTGCTTGTGGAAGAAGGTGTCAGAAGGATTCCAGCTCATGAGTTACTGTGAAGTGGTGGAAGGATGATTAGCTGATGTCAGGCAACACCAGGTGTGGATGACTGTGGCTCATAACGTGTGATGAACTGAGGTCACTGGTAGATGCTTAAGGTGTACATATGTGTGTGTGACTCAGTACAGTTTTCAGTGTTCACTGAACACTTCAGTTTAGTTTAGATGTGAACAAAATCATGCATAAGCAAATGGAAAATTTGAATTAGGCTCAAATTACTCATTGATATATCAATTATATTGGGACTAATTCCTATTTTCAAAATAAATGTTATAGCAGAACTGACTCTATATAGGAATAATGGCAACAAAAAACTCTACACAACTGGGTGGCAGCCCATGCCAAACATATGTCAATCTTTTTGACAACTAGACTAGCTGGACTGTTGTAGGTATGAGGAGATAATGCCACTCTAAGCAAGACCCTGTGCAATCACAGGCAACTCGGCAAGTCTATTGTAGCAACAGGCTTCTGAAAGTCAGCAACAGCAAAATATTTAATCAGCATATCTGAGTTTCTCAAAAGGCAGGCAATATGAAACCAAACCCTTCTGGGGATGTCTACTTCAATACTGTGAGTCAATTTCTCATTTTGCAATGACCTGGCTGGTATAAATCTCTTTGTAAATCTTTTAAACAGGGTCTCACTCTGGTGTGTTTTCAGCCCTCAAATAATTAGTGTTTCTCCTTTGTTGTTTTTATGCGTGATTGCCTTTGCAGAGTCAAAAGGAAGCTTGTCGTTTGGGGAATGCACGAAGTACTGTTCTCTGGCCAAGGGCAATGATAGAGGGAAAACAATAACCCAAGAATTTAGGTTAATGAGAAAGATACACACTAGTGTAAAACATAAATTGCAACACTGAGCTTTATTTTATAATCTCATAACCTTTATCATTTGGAAAATTCCTGTGACTTCAGTCCAAACCATTCATGGAGGCACTTGAAGCCTGGCAAATGGGGTGCTTTGTCCAAGATCAAATGGCAATTTGGTGTTATTCCCTAACATCTTTCAGTGGTAGTTACCATATACAATTTGAAAATCTTATGAAACTCCAAGAACTTTTGCACAAGAGTAGCCTCTTGTTTGTTTCTTCCTTTTCCTAGTTCTCCTTTAGAGTGGCCAAAAGAAAATATGAAGGTCCCACACTGCTTTCATGAGAATGTCTTATGATTCATTAATTCTATCATGTTTCAATCATTCATTATTTTCTTCCCTATTTCTACCTGAAATGAACAAGAAGCCAAATGTACCCTAACTTTGGCTGATACAAAAGAGGCATAGAAAACGAGAAACAAGACAGAGAATGAGGAACGGGACAACCAGACTTTTATCATTTAAATTCTCTTTATTTACAAGGAGAATTTACCATTACCTTTTAATTGGAATCAAGTCATCCCCTCAAGGAAACATATCCTGAAGTACGTTCATTCTACAACTACTTTGTTTCCAAGCACTGAACTCCTGTGTCATAAAGACCGTAGAGTCACTGTTTATTTGAAAGAAAAGTGAATGTGTGGGTGTTGTAAAAAAGAAACATAAGAGGCTGCCCCGTTGTCTTTTGTTTGGAAACTCAATTCTAGGCCCTGTGCTATCTGTGCCATAAAAAGGATCAAGTGTCCTCCCGGTCTCAAGTTCTTTCCAGAAGATGTGCCATCATTAAAAACTAAATGGTTTCCACGGCAACCTCCTCCTCAAACCCATCAATTTTTCTGGCAAAGCCATTTCATTCTGTCCCAGGAACCATATTAGAGTTAAAAATAATAATACAACTCTCAAAAAATGAAGTTAGGAAAATATCAACAGACAAAAATAAAACGAATGTGAGCCCAACAATATTTTGAGCATAATAAGATTGAGAGAACAAAACTTTCCCCAATAGCACTGGGTTCAGGATGTTAATGAAGATTTGACATAAAGAATCACAGTATAAAAGGGGATAGAAGAATGGAAGCAGGGAAGAGCCAGCTGCAAAGAGTGAAGAGTGCACAATGGTTTGGGGACAGCCAGCTCCTTTTCTTTGCTTCTCTTTTCTTCTCTGATAAGCGTACGGTCACTGGCATTGAAACAGAATTAAACTAAAGCAGCAAATGAAGTTTCCACCGGGAAAAGTTGTCTCTTGCAGAGTTCCGAGTGGAGCTGGGAGCAGTGCCAAGGGCTCATGAAGCAATTTTGGATGGTTCTGCTGGAAAGGCAGGAATGTCTGTCCTTCCATCACTCACAGCCCTTTACAACAACTGGCGTATCAGGGTATCAGGATCTTATGGTGCAAGTCAGAATTTGAAGCGGCTTTGGCAGTATCCATCTGTCTTATTCCACATGGTTACATTTGTGTTACCATCTTAACTTTAGCCACTGTTATTTATAATAAAAGCTATTTCTTTCTTTCTCTCTCTCTCTCTCTTTAATTTTGAGACAGGATCTCATTCTGTCACCCAGGCAGGAATGCAGTAGTGCAATCATGGCTCACTGCAGGCTCAACCTCCCCAGGGCTCAAGTGATCCTCCCACCTTAGCCTCCTGAGTATCTGGGACTACCAGCATGTGTCATACCCAGCTAGTTTTTCTTTATTTCTTGTAGAGAAGGGGTTTCACCACATTGCCCAGGCTGATCATGAACTCCTGAGCTCAAAAGATCTGCCTACCACAGCCTCTCCAAGTGCTGGGATTACAGTCATGAGGCATCGTACCCAGATGCTTTTCTTCTCTAAAGCCTTGGCTCAGAAAAGATTCATTGCTCATTTTCTGAATCCCAATCCTAATTTAGTCAGTATGTTACCACTTTCCTAATAATGGCTTTTTGTTATATTTGTGATTGCCAGTCTTACCATGTTATATAAACTCTTGGGAGGGAGGGAGGGAGGGAGGGGGGAAGGACGGAAGGAAGGAAGGAAGGAAGGAAGGAAGGAAGGAAATTGTTTCTCATGTCACCTATAGCATATACTGTAACAGATAATTTTGTGGATTCCTAGGGACTGAGTTTGTGTGCTCTGCACACACGGGTAGGAATAGGTTCTAGTGTTCAGATGAAGTTCCCGCCTGTCTTTAATCAATCCAGCAGTCAGTGGTCATGAAGAGTAGTAGCAAAAAGACATGGGCACAGGTGCTTTGATCTCTGCCAGAAACTTGATTCCTTTGCTCTGAACTCAGGAATTGTAAAGAAAGAGGATCAGATTCCTGGGGAAGATTTTCTTCCTGTGGCATTGCCAGAAAAGAAAGGTTTTAATATTCAAATGAAGAGCTTCCTTAAATAAATAAACACGTTTCTCTCTAAAAGAGAAGTAAAAGAAACAAAGAGCTGTGGGAGAAAGAAATCGAATTTTCAGGGCACAACAGAAAGCATGTGTTGACAATTTTGATAAACTATCCCCAGGATGGTATCGGTCAGGATAGGTTCGATTCTGCTGTGGTAGCAAACAACTCCAAAATGTTATGGCTTAAAACAACAACATTTATTTCCTGTCATGCTACATACCCAACTGTGTTGGCTGGGGGTTCTGCTCAGCATCACCCTAATTCAAGGTCAAGGATGACAACACAGCCACTCTCTGGAATGCTGTGGGTCACTGGGGCAGAGGGAAAAGAAAGCCCTAGAGTGTTGTACACTGGCAAAGAGATGCTCCAGCCCCAAAGGGTCACATTTTCCTTCAGCACACAGCTTATTGGCTGGAACTAATCACATGATCCCATATAAATCCAGTAACTCCAGCAAGAGCTTTTTTCCCTGCTGCTTGGTAGGTAGAGACCTGGGAATTTTTGGTGAATTACAGTAATGACTATCACAAGGGTAAACCTTCACACTTACAAGGTGTTTTCGGTTGGATTTCTTTTCAGAAGCAGCAGCTCTAAGAAGAAAGCTCCCAAGTAAAAACATAGTGTTTTTTCTACTTTTCTCTGGCTGCTTCCCACAACAGTGTTAATGAGTTCATGATCATTCCTGATCTGGGATTATCCCATCATTATAACCTGCCCTGTATTTCCAAATAAAAGCTACTAGGTGTCAATCTGGCCTAGGTTAATAGAATTTATAACTGTACTGCCTGAGACATGATGTGTTGAGCTACTGTACCCTGTCGAGAAGGATCCATCATCTTTATTCTGGCTAACTTGTGTCACTTTTATGCCGCATTACCCATACTACTCTTAGCTTGTTCTTATTTGCTCACTTTGGAACATGGCCGACAACTACTTAAGTCAATTTGTACCTGATTCCATTGGCTGTCTGACATTACTCTCTGAGGTGGTTGACCAGTCAGTCAGAATGGACCATTCTTCCCTCTTTTTTTGAGATGGAGTTTCGCTCTTGTCACCCAGGCTGGAGTGCAATGGTGCGATCTCAGCTCACTGCAACCTCCACCTCCTGGGTTCAAGTGATTCTCCTGCCTCAGCCTCCCTAGTAACTGGGATTATAAGCACCCACCACCATGCCCAGCTGATTTTTTTGTATTATTAGTAGAGGTGGGGTTTCACCATTGATGCTCTTTTTATAAGGGTCTATCCTGTGAATTCTTTGCAAATACCTGTGAACATAGTTCTTGAATCCTGATTTATCTGATATCTCAAATAGTCAGAAATCATAATTATGACAATTGTTTCTCTAGCCCTAATATATGCTATGGCTAGAAATAGAATACTAACAACTCAAATATTTAAATGTTAAACTTCAAATTAAGAGATTAATATTTATTGAAGGAATATTCTCTTTCTTAATCAGAAGTATTCCTATAGGAAAGGCAGAATGATTTCACTTTCATATGTAAGAAGTGAGTCTTGATAAATTCAACGCACTTTGAAATGCAAATCTAATTCATTCAGTAATAGTCTTTAGGGAGTACAATGGAGGCACAGTTTGTTAAGTGCACTTAACAGAGACTCCGAGTCGCCTAATGCAAATCTATTTTTTCTGTCCACCTTAAAAACAAGACTCCATATCTGAGGTGGAAGCAATGAACCAATATAAAAGACCACATTTTCTAACCACTTAGAATGAGGTATAGCCATATTTTAGCCAAAGCATTCAGTACCCCACCTATATTCCCCTGAACTCTTCAATGTGCTTCAATAGCCAAAGATCCACACTTCTGTGCTGGCAACATCTTTTCCCAACACAGTTGAAGGCCACTGCCTGCATGTGACAAACTAGAGATTCTAGTTAACACAGTCAGGAGTAACCCTCAATTAATGACTCCCCAGAATTGGTGTACAAACACTCAGCTTTCTCACCCCTTGGGTGGGAGAATTTAAAGGTGTATATTTTGTTCCACTGCCCAGAATTTACTTGCCAATTATGCTCCAAATATCTGCTTTGATTGCTGGCAGAATAGTAAAGCATTTTTTTTTTTGGCTACTTTCTGTTTACTATACAATTCCTTATTTCTCCACCAGTGTTCCCTACACCTCCCACATAAACTACTTAGAAGCACTTGAATCCCTGTCTCGGGGTCTGATTCTGGGATAAATGTGCCTAAGACAGAAATGTAAGAAGTACATGAAACTTCCAACAATTCTCATTAAAATGAAAGGCTACACCCTTTGTCATCCTTCTCTTTATCCTATGCTCTAGAACATAGATGTAACTTTTGGAGCTCTATAAACATCTTGGGCCATCAGGATGAGGGTCACATCTGTGTAAGGAAAGAGCTGAGAAGTAGAAGAAGCCCCAAGCCATGACAACCATTGAGCCTCTTTGCTGGGTCTTGACTTCTCACCTCCAGAACCATTCCATGTGAAAGAGAACTAAAAGTCTATCTTATTCAAATCACAATTATTTCATTTCTAAAATTAACCCGAACTCATATATAGAGAAAAAAAAACTTACTTCTTTCAATTGTATTTGGGGAGTCTTTTATGAGTTTGAAAATAACCACTAGAGTATGAAAGAATGGTTCATTCAGGGTCAGAATTCACCGGGCTGTGATCACATAGACAGACTCAGGCTTTATGAACTATAAAAATCTCAAAGGAACCCACCTCCTGGGACAGAGCTCAGCTCTCCCTGCATACCCAACCCACCTAGATTCCAATCCTGCCTATCCCAGATACATCCATTGCTCTTCCAGGTAGAGGGCAATGGTCTAGGTCTGGTCTCCCTGTGGAATCCTCCATTCTGGTCCATTGTTGACTTTTCTGTCTTTTCTCTGCTCATGCCTTAGCATAAAAATCAGATAGTATTAGAAAAAATTATGGCACAAACATTTGTATTTCTTCTTCATGTATCTTCAGTGTTGTGCCTGTTTCTGTATTGTTATTTTCTTAGGATCAGCCCCTTGGGATAAAGTTTGTGCTTTGCATTTGTTCTGAAAACCAGTTGTAGGAGAGCAACTAATGAGAACAATGCTCTGCTGGGACTTGCACTGCCTAGAGTGTGGAAAGAGAATTGTGCATTTGTGCATGCAACCTCTGCCTGGGGAGGAAGAACCACTGCTCCTAATATGTCACCTAGGTCTCCCAGCACAAGGCTTACACAGCTCCAAAGGATAATGACCCATGGAAAGCCTATGGACCACTTCCCCATTGGACCAAGTGCTCATCAGATTATCTACCCCAGCTCTTCACCTCAGGGTCCTGGACACATACACAGAGCAAGACATTCATTCACAGGACATGGGAAGGGGAAAGGGTGTTGCCTCTGAGCCAGCCCCACCGGGGCCTCAGGATAGATTTTTTTTTTTTTCATTGTAGTTTTCCAGTTCTAGAAACAGGGAGCTTCTATTTCCTGAAGGGCACAGAGGTTGCCTCCAGATCAGAGAAACCTTCTGACCAATTGTAGTTCTGGAACTTTCTGATGCTTATCCTATAGGGAATATAAACTTGTTTTTAAGAATATTCAGGATATTACAAAAGAATGAGAAAAAATAGTGTAGAAACAATTATATAAGGTCCTTACCAGGTACCTTACATATACCAAGTACTAGCCTAATTACTTTATTTGTTATTTCGTCTAATGAGTTTGAAAAGAGGTGTATATTATTATCCTCACTTCCTAGTCAGGATAGACCATAACTGCCAAGTGCGAAAACTAGGATTTGAACCAAGGTTTGCATGATCCAACACAGATGATATATTTATCCTCACTATGAATTCAGGGTCCCCAGTTTGAAATTGGTCAGTACTAATTCTAATAAGAAGATATGGCTCCCAGTGTCTGATACAAGGACCCATGGAACACTTCCTAGTCCATCCTGGGATTGGGCAAATACAACAAGAACTACAAACAGGTAAAAGGTATTTGTTCCAAGCAGCTGATTAGGTTAAGGAAAAAAAAAAAAAAGCAAAAAACAGAGATGAGTTTTAGAGGTTGCGACTGAGCAGAAAACCTAAGCTTTGAGGAAAATGTCAAGTATTCAATAGTAAAAGCCTTACTTTACTTTTAGGTTACAAGGCTGTGGAAACATTTGCTTCAGTATTTTAGCCAGGTTCCTCATCTTGCCAGCCAGCTGAATTACCCAACAACTCACTTAAGCCATGAGATATACCTGCCCACTCCTGTCCTCTTCTGGCTTCAGTGAGACCTTGGCTCATTATGTGCTGACTTAGATTTGTCTTGATTCCTTACCTACCAATGATAAATGTGAGCATAAGACCAATTTTAATGGTGTGACTCTAGACCAGCTATTCTGACAGGCTGAGGTATAGTATGTAGCAGGGCAATAAGCAAACTTGTCCCATGGATGTGAGGATCTTAAAGTCAAGTAACTATAGAGCTACAGTTATAGAAAGTGGACTTAGGGTCAGAAAACCTGGAAGTAACTTCTGATGTTACCATGGGTGGTTCTGTAATCTTTGACAAGTCACATAGATTTTATGATGATCATTTTTTTAAAGATATAAAAATGAGGATAGGAACAAGCCAAATACAATAATTTTTTGTGAATTAGATGAGGTGATGTCGATGGATGAGTTTTATAAACTTTGGAGCATGATATAACTGTATAGTATTATTTGTAAAATTACTAGGCATGAGTGGCTCAGTCAGTGGCAGTCCCAGGAGCCTGCAGCCAGAATCCCTTCCCACTACTCTAGCTGGGGAAGCCAGGGTTCTGGTACTATTAGAGAGTGTGCCAAAGATGAGGTCAGAAGAATATTTCTGAAAGAGGATCATGCAATCAGTATAATCTACCACAGGATCTGAACGTGCACCTAAGTCTGCAAGATCCAAGGGCATTGAGAGCCAGAGACAAGGAATTGCCATGTGATTCTAGGCAGAAAGCTGTTTAGCAGAAGGAAGCAATTGCATTTTTGTGTTTTCAGCAGAGTATCACATGTAGGTGACTGACTCATTTAAAGGGTGAATTGGAGTCTATATGTGGATTATTTCTATTTTGTAATGGAAAACGAAACCCAAATCAATCTGAAGCCAGAAGGTGTAAGGTAATGTCCAAAATTATATAAAGATCAGGGAAAAGATATTCAGATAATGCCAACTTTAAGTACCAAACACAGCCCTGAGTGCTGTATGAACAGGATAGTATGACAAAATCCTGCTGTTTCTGGAATGTACAATTAGGGGAATATGACAAGTCTACAAATAATCATCACGTGAAACAAAGAACAAACGTCAGAAAAAAGATGCCAAGTGCTCCAAGGAGCAGGGTGAGAAAGTCACTTTGGTGGTTTGAAGACTGATCAAAAAAGTATCTATAAAGGAAACCACATTTGAAATGTGTTAGAATTGGACAGATATAGCTAAGGGCAAAGTGGCAAGCCCTCCAGGAAGACAGAATTATCAGGACTAAATATCAAAGCTAGGGATCTGGAAGGAAGGAGCAGCCTGACTCATCTGGTTTCTGTGGGAGAAGTGCAAGACAAGTCATGAAAGATTACTCAAGATCAGAACTTTGAAGACCAAGTTCTGAACATGGCCCGCGATTTGGCAAATACTTAGTCATTGAATGCTGAAGAGCAGGGACATCTTCAGATCACTTCTCTCCAAAAATGTGTGACTATTAACATTCTTGGCAATATTACTTCCATTATTTAGATTACTTTTATTGGTCACTACTGATGGTAGCCAACCTCCAAGATGGTCTTCAGTGATCTCTTACTCCTAGTATTTATGCCCTTGTGTGAACTCTCCCATATTGTATCAGGGTTGGTCTGCATTGCCAGCAGGATATGGCAGTAGTGATGGTTTGTCACTTCTGAGTTCAGGTTATAAAAGACTTTGTACACTTTTGTACACTCGTGTGTGCGTATCTCCCTGTTCTGTTCTTCTATTTCTGTGTGTGTGTGTGTGTGTGTGTTTGCGTGTGTACATGGGTCTTTCATCATTTGCTTTAGAGGAAACCCTCTAAAGCCATGTATGAGCTGCCCTGCGGTGGAGCCTGTAGGTCATGAGGAACTGAGGCCTCCAGCCAACATCCAGAGAGAAACCCAGGCCTTGTGGCCACAGTCACATGAGTGATCTTGGGACAAGGTCCTTCAGTGCAGGGCAGTATTCATATGAGGTGGCCCTGGCCAACTTCTTGACTACAACTCATGAGAGACCTTGAGCCAGAACCACGCAGTGGAGCGACTGCTGGATACCTCACCCTCAGAAACTGTGGGAGATAATAAATGATTGTTGGTTTTATCCACTACATTTTAGAATAATTTGTTACACAGCAATAGATAACTAATATACTCCATCATTCAACAAATATTTACTTATTCAGTATCTACCTGTTTCAAGAATTATATAGTTAGTTGAATAATTATTACAACTCAAGGCTTCTTGTTTTCAGATAGGATCATATTGAACTACTTTAACTTTTTTTGTTTGTTTCTTTGTTTGTTTGTTTGAGATGGAGTTTCGCTCTTTTGGCCAGGCTGGAGTGCGGTGGCGTGATCTTGGATTGCTGCAACCTCTGCCTCCCGGGTTCAAGTGATTCTCCTGCTTCAGCCTTCCGAGTAGCTGGGATTACAGGCACATGCCACCACATCCGGTTAATTTTTGTATTTTTAGTAGACACGGGGTTTCGCCATGTTGGCCAGGCTGGTCTCGAGCTCCTGACCTCAGGTGATCCGCCCACCTCGGCCTCCCAAAGTGCAGGGATTACAGGTGTGAGCCACCACGCCGGGCCACTCCTTTTAATTTTTTAAATAAATTATTTTCCTAGTTTCCAGCCTTCCCATGTTTTCAGCCATCTTTCATTTTGGCACATTTCCTTCCTGTATCCTACCCTCTTTCTACTGGCTAACCCCAAAGTATCCATTGCTTAAATTTAATTTCTTTTTAGAGAACTTTCCTGATATCTACAGAGAAGAGGGACTCTCTGGAATGATTCCTTTTAGCACATACTGTATCAAATTCTCTTGCTAATTGTCATCTTCCCTGTTAGTTTATAAGCTCCATGACTGTGGTTGTCCTGTCCACTGATGTATCCTTAGTATCCAGCATAGTGCCTGGCACAAGATAACAATCCTCATACACATTTATGTATACACACACACACACAGAGAGAGAGAGAGAGAGAGAGAGAGAGATAAATTCAGCAAGTGTAATGGATGGTCACAAATTATCTGGAGTGAGCCTCACCTTGCCCAGTCCTTCCAGCTATGCTTGAGAATAGAAGATATTTCTCATGCAGGTCTCTGATGCTCTGATCCATAGTAATCCAAAGATGTCTTGGTCACATAAAGGTCCAGTTTAGTGGCCTCATGGTGATATGGACAAAGACATTATCAAGAATAGAATTCTTGACTAGGAAGCATTGAAAGATAGTTTGGGAGCAAGAGATCCAACCTTAGAGGAAACAGGCAAGCCACTGATTTCACCTGGTTTGCTTTTGTTATTTTAAAGGGCAAGAGTTTCGTAAGAATGGAACTCCAGAGGAAATTTTCATAAACTCTGAGATGGCTTTCGGCACTCAATAGCACTTCATGAGTTTTTCAGGATTTCAGCATGAAAGGGAGGAGCTTTGCCCAGAGGGTCCCAGTTGCCTGTAGACACATCTTTCCATGACCCTGAGGCTGCACTAGGATTTATATAGCCACACAAAACTGCTCTTAATGGATTTTCTTCCCCATCTTTAAGTTTTATTCTCCCTTAAGTATCAACATAGGTGTGGTGTTTCAAAGCAATTTGTCCAGAAAGATAAACTTCTGTTGATGTGTTGAGCAAGTGATATTTGTATGTGCAGGGTTGTGTAGTGTGTGGCGGTGGTAAATAAACACAAGACTCATTTATATCCACTATGGTTTTAACCTGATTCAGGGGCTGAGGTGACCTCTGATTGTACTTCTTTCTTGCTGCTATGAGAGCAATGGAGGAAAAAGGAAGACAGACACCATATCTCAAGCTTGCACTCAGCCCTGAGTTAAGCTAATTACCATCTAGAGTTACTGGTTAAGAAAAACACATATTGTCAAGTTGGGGCTTTGAAAGAGAAAACAACGAATATTTCTTTGGACTTCTCCTCTTTTTGACTCAACTAATTGGTTCACTTCTCTAATACAATCACTGGAAAGATAGATTTTTCTCCCCACTTTGTAGAATACACTAAAATCTATTTTTCTTTGTGTCCAATAGAGCCAGCTACTCTCTAATTGTGCCTATAAATGAGTAGACAGTTAAAACATTACGTTGGGAAAGAAGTTTGTTTTTGTTTCTTTTTTTTTTTTCCTCACAGCATTTTGTGGAAGACTTTTCCTCTCCCCTTTTCTTTTCGTTAGGAAATGAAGCACTACTTAGAACCTTTCACATTTCAAGTAAAAGCTTTCAAAATGAAAGGAAAAAATATTTCAAACCTCGGCATTTAAAGTCCATATGGTCTCTATTCATAGTGAACAATTAACGTGTGGTTGGCAACTGTGCTATAGAAACAGACGTGCCCAGCTTCTACAAACGTGGGTGGATGTCTGATGGCAGATCTAACATTTATGGCCTTCGGTGCATCATTGCCAGAAAGGTGACATGAACAAGAGCTGAGCGTTGAAGGTGCTTGGATATTTTCAGCCAATGAAACAGGTGGAGGTGTACATGAAACACAGCTACGCAGGTGACATGTAAATTATGAGTATATATTAACATGTGCTGACTTAATCCCTATAATCATGTTTTGACTTTTTGAGTAATCATCAATGCAACAAGTTAGGCATTTTATTTTGAATAAAAGTAATGATATTCCAACAGTAACTCTAATTCCAAGTTAACCCATTCACTTTAACACATAAGGTGAGAGTACCAAAAGCCAGTCTAATTTACATAGGCCCTGGAAATTCAACCAGATCTAAGCTGGCCTGGAACATTTATATGCTGGCTCCACCAACAGTCTATTCACATAAGGAACTGGGCACTCCCATGGTCATCACAACATAAAGGAAGAAAAAAATCCAAGGCACACAATACTTGCTGCAAAATAAATGAGAGTTTACTATGTGCCAGGCATTGCTTAAAGAGCTGAGGATATTGAAATAATGGATTATTCTCCCTGGCCACCCTGAAGTCACTCAGTGTAGAAACATGCAGTTATTCTTCAGTGTGTTAGGGTCTCTGATGGAGAAAAACATGAGGTAGAAGGTGAATCCAATCCCAAGGGGGTTAGGTGGGATTATGCTGGAGGTTTTAAACAGAGCCCTGAATATGAGTGGATGTAGAGAAGTAAATAATAGGGAGAAGACGTCCCTGCAAGGTTTTTCCCTTTTGTCACTCTAGGTTATCCAGTCATGTCTGTGCCTCATCCTTCATATAACAATAACTGCATCACAGGTATAGACTGAGAGCTCTGTTTTCCGCAGTTATATGGACTCCTGCAGACTGCTTTTGCAACCCTGAAAGAGAAAATGAGGACTTGGCTTTGTTTCTTCTTAGTCCTATGCCATAAGGCAACGTGCCTAATTTTGCCCTCTATAGGGTGAAGCGCTGTAAGAAAGGAGTCAGCTGACACAGGGACACTCACAGCAGAAGCATCTTTGCTCAGTCCAGTGGGGACCGTGGTTTGGCTGCAGTGTGGGAGGTAATGTTCATAGCATTGCTCACATGGAAACCAGCCCTGCTTTTTAATAGCTTCCTCTTGGATTTAAATTTGGTCTAGACCTTGTTATCCATTTCCAAGTGTTCACACCTGTTTTTACTCTTAGACAATGTCTTTATTCCTCCTTTATTCTGTAACCTACAAGTGCAGCCAGGCATCCCTACTCTATCACATGTCCCACCTGGGTCAGTGACATTGGCCATGGCTGCCCTAACAAATTACCACAAACTTAGTGGCTTAAAGCAAGACTCATTTATTATCTCACAGTTGTGTATGTTAGAACAGAAAGAGGACACACTGGACTAAAATCAAGGTGTCAGCAGGGCTGTGTTCCTTACTAGAGGCTTTGGGTACAAATCCACTTCCTAACTCTTTCAGGTTGTTGGCAGAATTTAGTTCCATGTTGCAGAACTAAGGTCCCTGTTCCCTTGCTAGCTGTTGGCTCAGGGTCATTCTCAGCATCTAGAGTCTGCCTAAATCCCTGGATTATGGCCCCATCCATCTCCTAAACTGGGACTCATTGGCCCAGTCCTTCTGATGTGTCAAATCTTTCTGATCTTCTTTTCTTTATGCTTTTTCTTTCCTGATACTCTTCTGCTGTATCTCTGTTTGCAGCCAAAGACGTTTCTATGCTTTCAAGGGTCCATGTGATTAGATTCAATTTACTCATATAATCCAGGATAATCTTCCCATTTTAAGGTCAGTAACCTTGATTTTATCTGCAGAGAACTCTTTTACTTTGTAAAGTAACCTGTTTACAAGATCAAGAGATTAGGGTATGGACATCTTTGAGAGACATTCTTATGCCTAACACATCCCCAATTTTGGAAATCAGACAGTTGGAACATCCAAGCTCCTAGGTCCTGCTGGAATTACTAAAAATGTCCTGAACAAAATGTGTATGACTTTTTCTCTGGTAATATTTCAAGTTTGCAACATGCTTTGGCAAACTATTATGAAGATGAGCAAGATATGTTTGAAAAGCCGCTAGCCTAGAGCCTGGCACAAACTCAGTTCTCAGAATATATTAATTTCCTTTTCCCATTCTTGCACTTGGCATTCCCAGAGAGAGTACCATGGTGTGACTTTGAAGTTATAAAACTGATCCTACAAGCTGCACTCACAAATCAGCCTCAAGATTATTATAGCGTGGCACAGACAGAAGAGTATAACAAATTCAAGCTGAGCATCAAGATTCTATCAATCCTATTAGTTACTTGGCTGAAAGTAATGTTTTTCTCCTTAAGTTCTGAAAACCCATATATTATCTATCTATAAGGTTATAGGATGTAAATAGTGACTTGATGGCCTCAGAGAAGAAGGAAGGCCCAAGTTAATTGGCTTCTTACCAAATAATACCTCCTTGTCCTTAAGTCCCCCATAAATCAGATATATTAGGAGAAGAAAGAATTTCTTCTTTCCTCATCCCTAATATACCCATGTAAGCCTGGAATTCCCCTTTCTTTCGTTTTGGCCTAAGTCATACCTATTCTTAACTCTATACCTACATTTTGGAAAAATAAAACACACACAAACACTCATGTACACACACCCTTTCTCTGATAGATTCTGCAATGAATACTTCTTCTGTAAAAGCTCCTTTCCTGTAGATACTACTGTTTATAGTTTATATGTTGATATCAAGTTAGAGGTTCCAGGGTCCATGTTAGAGATTCCAAACTTCTCTCCTTCATAATCTATCCCTAAACCCAGCACACAATATATGCTCAATGAATTTCAGATGATGGCATGGTTTGTTGCTGAAACTTTATGCATTCATCATCTGAACCTCCTAAATGTAATGTAAAAAATTACAATTTATTTTTTTCTAATTAACTTATATCTTAAAATAAAGATCAGGCATTTGTGCTACCATTTTCTCTTGTATTCAAAGGGTGGACATCATTCTTGATGTACATTCTACATACTACACGTATTACACGGATACAGAGTCATCTGCAACACAGCCCTCAAAGCAAATCTCCAATCAAACAAAATTGGCAATGCAATAAAACCTATTTGCCAAACCTTACCCAGCATAACACCTAAGATTTTACAAGAATGGTAAATATTTATTAAAACGAATGAGTAAACTGTCAGGGCTAAGAGCTTAAGAAAACATGACTACTAAGTGGAATGTGAGATCCTAGACAGGATTTTGGAAGAGAAAGAAGGACTTAGATAACTAAAGAAATCCAAATAAAGCAGACTTCAGTAAATAATAAGGTATAATTATAATAATAATAAATGTACCATACTACAATGGTAAACATAATATATGTTACTAATAAGAGAAGCTGTGTGTGCATATATGGGGATTGTCTACTGTCTTCACAATAATTCTCTAAGTCTGAAGCTCTTCAGAACTAAAAAGGTAACTTAGAAAATTTAAAAGGAAAGAAAATACATTCTGAAAAAAAAATGAGTCAGTATGAATCTAGAAGCCTTAATCAATATTGTGACTATGAAATGAAAGCAAAACTGAAATTTTTACTAATGGTTTTCATTTTGGTAATTGCCTGTGAATATTTTCTGAACCTTCTTCTTTTTTTTTTTTACTTAACAACGAAAGATAAAACAATACAAAGACATTAAAATGTATTCACTATGAAAAGGGATTTGATTAGGCAGTAGTAGTCTAAAGTTAAAGTTTCTGGTGAAAAAACTATATTCGTATAGATGTTTAAATTTCCTTATGCTTTCCTATAAGTTGCATTTTTCAGTATGTATGAGCTGATAATCAATAAATGGCAACTATTGCAATGCATAAAGCATGGAACTGTATCACATATATTTTTACTCTGTTATCCTTCTTCCAGTGATTCTGGAGCACCCAACATGTGCCTGCCAAATATTCTCGTTGATGGGAATCCTTGTCCTTTAATTCAAGCACAGCTATTCACTTAGCCAAAGGTAACTGAATTTTAAACATACAGAAAGAAATAAACAAACTGAAACTACTAGGAGACAAAACATTTATATAAACTCTGAACTTGTTTTTTTTTTTAAACTAAAAATGCAAAATGAAACTTATTTAATTTTACAACAAAAGTCCAAATTGTGGAATCTGTGCTTATTAAGGACCAAAGTAGGAAAGACACAGAAAGAAGACATCACCCCATTAGTTAACCCCACTACAGATAGTGCTGTCTTTCATTATATGGTTAGCATCTTTGTCTGAACAGGGACATTCTAGACATAGCCTCTCAAGAGGTCCCTGAAGATAAATTGCACACAGGCTTGTGGAAGGGATCTTCACAAGCAGGTGTTAGGAAATTTTGGTGGATAAGAACCAAAACTCTGGGAAAAGGCTGTTCTTGCATTAGTCAGGGACAGTCGGAAATGCCTGAAAACTCGTGAGGAAAGTGATTCTCTTCACTTCCCTACATGCTAGAAGCTTGGATGATTCACAAAAGATTCTGATAAGCATCCAGTCATCTGGCTTCAGGTCCAAGCCAGACTTTCCTGAAGTTCCCGAGGTGCATTCATTCATGCTCATTATGTTGTAAACAAGCGTAGATGAAAGGCACTTACCAAACTGTTTTAAGAACATATCTTGGTGCTTATTGTCAGTCACTAATAAATAAACAGTGGCATTCCTTTCTTTGGATAAATGAGGGCTTTGCATCCACTAGCTCAAGCCAGGAATCTAAAGTGATCCTCATTCTTTCTATTATAGAAAGAAAAAAAAATGAGCCAAGAAATATAGGCAAGGCACCCATCCTTGAATATGGGCACATGTCCACCAGATTTGAAATTCTCTCTCGTTTACAATGCATCTGCAAGAAAAACCATGCACGGGATTGAACTTGGGTTTTAACTTCTCTCTCACCTATGGGGGAGTATAGTCTGGCCTCATTATCACCATTAAATCAGCCACAAATCCTGTCCCCAAAGTCCCAAAATTATCTGTTTACATCCGGGGAGAAAATCACAGTGTTTTGTCAGTAGTCATAACAGAATGCTAAGCAGAGATTTGGGGCTCCCCTAGGCAAACAGGACAAGGAGAGAGGTATTGGCCTCTTGCCTACAAACACAAACATAAATAGCATCACATGGGAGCAGCGCTGTCCTCTGGAGCTGATCACTAATTCATCCAAGGTGGCTGCAATTGTCACTCAGAAAGAAAACGGATTTCTTTTCTTCCCGTTCCTTCAGACATGATCCACATTTGACATCTGTGATCTCCTGTGTTTTAATTTTTATAAGCTGCTTGGTACTAGCAGAAATGTTAATCCTTTAAAAAGAAAACTTCAGGCTTTTTATTTCCAGCAACCCAAGTGAATAGTAATAAAACATCTTCAGAGCACAGACACTGAGCCCCAGCACTCCCACCTACCCTTGATTTTGACCTCCAGGGTTCACAATGCCATGCAAGACAGGAGGGAAAAGGGGCTGGGGCAGGGGAATGGCGGAGAAGTGGGGAGATCAATGTTCTATATCCTTCCATTGAGGAAAGAAAAGAGAAAATGATGAGAAAAGAACATTTAAGATAGAATCGCATATATTTATACATCTACGTGAGGCTCTGGAGGTACAGAAATGAATGAAGTATCATCAGTACCATACAGGAATTCAGCCTAGTGAAAGGAAGAAAAACATGCAAACCAGTGATCTCAACTTGCTTCTCACAGTGCTATGAGATGCCAGAGAAATGGCTTAGCTTTGCCTGAGGATCTCAGGACAGGTTTTCTAGAAGACGGTCAGGTGAAGCAGGAGAGAAGGGTCTGAGAAAGGCTAGCAAGGACAAAGAAAGGCAAGATAAACACAAAAATCACGTGTTCTCACTCATATGTGAGAGCTAAAACAAAAGTGGAAGTGGAGGTAGAGAGTAGAATGTTGATTACCAGAGGCTGGGAAACGAAGCAGGGAGGGGTTGATGGAGAAAAGTTGGTTCATGGCTACAAAAGTACAATTAAATAGAAAGAATAATTTCTAGCATTTGATAGTATGGTAGGAAAATTACAGTTAACCATAATTTATTGTATATTTCAAAAATAGAAGAAAAGAATTATGATGTTCCCAACACAAAAGATAAATACTAAAGATGGAGGATATCCCAATTAACCTTAGTTTGATTACTTATTGTATATATGTATCAAAATATCACATGTACCCCCAAAGTATGTACAACTAAGATATATCAATAAAAAATGTTTTGTTTTGTTTTTAATTATACGTTAAGTTTTAGGGTACATGTGCACAATGTGCTGTTTATTTACATATGTATACATGTGCCACGTTGGTGTACTGCGCCCAGTAACTCCTCATTTAACATTAGGTATATCTCCAAATGCTATCCCTCCCACCCTCCCCCCACCCCACAACAGGCCCCGGTGTGTGTTGTTCCCCTTCCTGTGTCCAAGTGTTCTCATTGTTCACTTCCCACCTATGAGTGAGAACATGCAGTGTTTGGTTTTTTGTCCTTGCGATAGTTTGCTGAGAATGATGGTTTCTAGCTTCATCCACATCCCTACAAAGGACATGAACTCATCGTTTTTTATGGCTGCATAGTATTCCATGGTGTATATATGCCACATTTTCTTAATCCAATCTATCATTGTTGGACATTTGGTTTGGTTCCAAGTCTTTGCTACTGTGAATAGTGCCGCAATAAACATACGTGTGCATGTGTCTTTATAGCAACATGATTTATAATCCTTTGGGTATATATCCAGTAATTGGATTGCTGGGTCAAATGGTATTTCTAGTTCTAGATCCCTGAGGAATCGCCACACTGACTTCCAAAATGGTTGAACTAGTTCACGGTCCCACCAACAGTGTAAAAGTGTTCCTATTTCTCCTCATCCTCTCCAGCACCTGTTGTTTCTTGACTTTTTAATGATCGCCATTCTAACTGGTGTGAGATGGTATCTCATTGTGGTTTTGATTTGCATTTCTCTGATGGCCAGTGATGATGAGCATTTTTTCATGTCTTTTGCCTGCATAAATGTCTTCTTTTGAGAAATGTCTGTTCATATCCTTCGTCCACTTTTTGATGGGGTTGTTTGTTTTTTTCTTGTAAATTTGTTTGAGTTCTTTGTAGATTCTGAATATTAGCCCTTTGTCAGATGAGTAGATTGCAAAAATTTTCTCCCATTCTGTAGGTTGCCTGTTCACTCTGATGGTAGTTTCTTCTGCTGTGCAGAAGCTCTTTAGCTTAATTAGATCCCATTTGTCAATTTTGGCTTTTGTTGCCATTGCTTTTGGTGTTTTAGACATGAAGTCCTTGCCCATGCCTATGTCCTGAATGGTAATGCCTAGGTTTTCTTCTAGGGTTTTAATGGTTTTAGGTCTAACATTTAAGTCCTTGATCCATCTTGAATTAATTTTTGTAGAAGGTGTAAGGAAGGGATACAGTTTCAGCTTTCTACATATGGTTAGCCAGTTTTCCCAGATCCTTTCCCCATTTCTCGTTTTTGTCAGCTTTGTCAAAAATCAGAAGGTTGTAGATATGCAGCATTATTTCTGAGGGCTTTGTTCTGTTCCATTGGTCTATATCTCTTTTTTTGTACCAGTACCATGCTGTTTTGGTTACTGTAGCCTTGTAGTATAGTTTGAAGTCAGGTAGCATGATGCCTATAGCTTTGTTCTTTTGGCTTAGGATTGACTTGGCAATGCGGGCTCTTTTTCGGTTCCATATGAACTTTAAAGTAGTTTTTTCCACTTCTGTGAAGAAAGTCATTGGTAGCTTGATGGGGATGGCACTGAGTGTATAAATTACCTTGGGCAGTATGGCCATTTTCATGATATTGATTCTTCCTACCCATGAACATGGAATGTTCTTCCATTTATTTGTATCCTCTTTTATTTCATTGAGCAGTGGTTTGTAGTTCTCCTTGAAGAGGTCCTTCACGTCCCTTGTTGGATTCCTAGGTATTTTATTCTCTTTGAAGCAACTGTGAATGGGAGTTCACTCATGATTCGGCTCTCTGTTTGTCTGTTATTGGTGTATAAGAATGCTTGTGATTTTTGCACATTGATTTTGTATCCTGAGACTTTGCTGAAGTTGCCTATCAGCTTAAGGAGATTTTGGGCTGAGACGATGGAGTTTTCTAGATACACAATCATGTCATCTGTAACAGGGACAATTTAACTTCCTCTTTTCCTAATTGAATACCCTTTATTTCCTTCTCCTGCCTGATTGCCCTGGCCAGGACTTCCAACACTATGTTGAATAGGAGTGGTGAGAGAGGGCATCCCTGTCTTGTGCCAGTTTTCAAAGGGAATGCTTCCAGTTTTTGTCCATTCAGTATGATATTGGCTGTGGGTTTGTCATAGACAGCTCTTATTATTTTGAGATACATCCCATCAATACCTAATTTATTGAGAGTTTTTAGCATGAAGGGTTGTTAAATTTTAACAAAGGCCTTTTCTGCATCTATTGAGATAATCATGTGGTTTTTGTTGTTGGTTCTGTTTATATGCTGGATTATGACTTTTGATTTGCATATGTTGAACCAGCCTTGCATCCCAGGGATGAAGCCCACTTGATCATGGTGGATAAGCTTTTTGATGTGCTGCTGGATTCGGTTTGCCAGTATTTTATTGAGGATTTTTGCAATGATGTTCATCAGGGATATTGGTCTAAAGTTCTCTTTTTTTGTTGTGTCTCTGCCAGGCTTTGGTATCAGGATGATGCTGGCCTCATATAATGAGTTAGGGAGGATTCCCTCTTTTTCTATTGATTGGAATAGTTTCAGAAGGAATGGTACCAGCTCCTCCTTGTACCTCTAGTAGAATTCAGCTGTGAATCCGTCTGGTCCTGGACTTTTTTTGGTTGGTAAGCAATTAATTATTGCCTCAATTTCAGAGCCTGTTATTGGTCTATTCAGAGATTCAACTTCTTCCTGGTTTAATCCTGGAAAGGTGTATGTATGGGTCAAGGAATTTATCCATTTCTTCTAGATTTTCTAGTTTATTTGCGTAGAGGTGTTTATAGTATTCTCTGATGGTAGTTTGTATTTCTGTGGTGTCAGTGGTGATATCCCGTTTATCATTTTTTATTGTGTCTCTTTGATTCTTTTCTCTCTTCTTCTTTATTAGTCTTGCTGGTGGTCTATCAATTTTGTAGATCTTTTCAAAAAACCAGCTCCTGGATTCATTGATTTTTTGAAGGGTTTTTTGTGTCTCGATCTCCTTCAGCTCTGCTCTGATCTTAGTTATTTCTTGCCTTCTGCTAGCTTTTGAATGTGATTGCTCTTGCTTCTCTCGTTCTTTTAATTGTGATCTTAGGGTGTCAATTTTATATCTTTGCTACTTTCTCTTGTGGGCATTTAGTGCTATAAATTTCCCTCTACACACTGCTTTGAATGTGTCTCAGAGATTCTGGTATGTTGTGTCTTTGTTCTCGTTGGTTTCAAAGAACATCGTTATTTCTGCCTTCATTTCATAACATACCCAGTTGTCATTCAGGAGCAGGTTGTTCAGTTTCCATGTAGTTGAGCAGCTTTGAGTGAGTTTCTTAATCCTGAGTTCTAGTTTGATTACACTGTGGTCTGAGAGACAGTTTGTTATAATTTCTGTTCTTTTACATTTGCTGAGGAGTGCTTTACTTCCAACTTTGTGGTCAAATTTGGAATAAGTGTGGTGTGGTACTGAGAAGAATGTATATTCTGCTGATTTGGGGTGGAGAGTTCTGTAGATGTCTATTAGGTCCACTTGGTGCAGAGCTGAGTTCAATTCCTGGATATCCTTGTTAACTTTCTTTCCCATTGATCTGTCTAATGTTGACATTGGGGTGTTAAAGTCTCCCATTATTATTGTGTGGGAGTCTAAGTCTCTTTGTAGGTCTCTAAGGACTTGCTTTATGAATCTGGGTGCTCCTGTATTGGGTGCATATATATTTAGGACAGTTAGCTTTTCCTGTTGAATTGATCCCTTTACCACTATGTAATGGCCTTGTCTCTTTTGATCTTTGTTGGTTTAAAGTCTGTTTTATCAGAGACTAGGATTGCAACCCCTGCCTTTTTTTGCTGTCCATTTGCTTGGTAGATCTTCCTCCATCCCTTTATTTTGAGCCTATGTGTGTCTCTGCACATGAGATGGGTTTCCTGAATACAGCACAATGATGGGTCTTGACTCTTTATCCAATTTGCCAGTCTGTGTCTTTTAATTGGAACATTTAGCCCATATACATTTAAGGTTAATATTGTTATGTGTGAATTTGATCCTGTCACTATGATGTTAGCTGGTTATTTTGCTCGTTAGTTGATATAGTTTCTTCCTAGCCTCGATAGTCTTTACAATTTGGCATGTTTTTGCAGTGGCTGGTACCGGTTGTTCCTTTCAATGTTTAGTGCTTCCTTCAGGAGCTCTTGTAGGGCAGGCCTGGTGGTGATGAAATCTCTCAGCATTTGCTTGTCTGTAAAGTATTTTATTTTTCCTTCACTTATGAAGCTTAGTTTGGCTGGATATGAAATTCTGGGTTGAAAATTATTTTCTTTAAGAATCTTGAATATTGGCCCACACTCTCTTCTGGCTTGCAGAGTTTCTGCCAAGAGATCAGCTGTTAGTCTGACGGGCTTCCCTTTGTGGGTAACCCAACCTTTCTCTCTGGCTGCCCTTAACAGTTTTTCCTTCATTTCAACTTTGGTGAATCTGACATTATGTGTCTTGGAGTTGTTCTTCTCAAGGAGTATCTTTGTGGCGTTCTCTGTATTTCCTGAATGTGAATGTTGGGGAAGTCCTCCTGGATAATATCCTGCAGAGTGTTTTCCAAATTGGTTCCATTCTCCCCATCACTTTCAGGTACACCAATCAGACATAGATTTGGTCTTTTCACATAGTCCCATGTTTCTTGGAGGCTTTGTTTGTTTCTTTTTATTCTTTTTTCCCTAAACTTCCCTTCTCGCTTCATTTCATTCATTTGATCTTCCATCACTGATACACTTTCTTCCAGTTCATTGAATCGGCTACTGAAGCTTGTGCATTCGTCACGTAGTTCTCATGCCTTGGTTTTCAGATCCATCAGGTCCTTTAAGGACTTCTCTGCATTGGTTGTTTTAGTTAGCCATTCATCTAATTTTTTTCAAAGTTTTTAACTTCTTTGCCATGAGTTCTAACTTCCTCCTTTAGCTCGGAGTAGTTTGATCATCTGAAGCCTTCTTCTCTCAACTCGTTAAAGTCATTCTCTGTCCAGCTTTGTTCTGTTGCTGGTGAAGAGCTGCATTCCTTTGGAGGAGGAGAGGCGCTCTGATTTTTATAGTTTCCAGTTTTTCTTCTTTGTTTTTTCCCCATCTTTGTGGTTTTATCTACCTTTGGTCTTTGATGATGGTGACGTACAGATGGGGTTTTGGTGTGGATGTCCTTTCTGTTTGTTCATTTTCCTTCTAACAGTCAGGACCCTCAGCTGCAGGTCTGTTGGAGTTTGCTGGAGGTCCGCTCCAGACCCTGTTTGCCTGGGTATGAGCAGCAGATGCTGCAGAACAGAGGATATTGGTGAACAGCAAATGCTGCTGCCTGATCGTTCCTCTGGAAGTTTTGTCTCAGAGGAGCACCTGGCCTTGTGAGGTGTCAGTCTGCCCCTAATGGGGAGTGCCTCCCAGTTAGGCTACTTGGGGGTCAGGGACCCACTTGAGGAGGCAGTCTGTCCTTTCTCATATCTCCAGCTGCGTGCTGGGAGAACTACTACTCTCTTCAAAGCTGTCAGACAGGGACATTTAAGTCTGCAGAGGATTCTGCTGCCTTTTGTTTGGCTATGCCCTGCCCCAGAGGTGGAGTCTACAGAGGCAGGCAGGCCTCCTTGAGCTGAGGTGGGCTCCACCCAGTTCAAGTTCCCAGCTGCTTTGTTTACCTACTCAAGCCTCAGCAATGGAGGGTACCCCTCCCCCAGCCTCGCTGCCGCCTTGCAGTTTGATGTGAGACTGCTTTGCTAGCATTGAGCGAGGCTCCGTTGGTGTAGGACCCTCTGAGCCAGGCGCGAGATATAATCTCCTCGTGTGACATTTGCTAAGACCATTGGAAAAGCGCAGTATTAGGGTGGAAGTGACCCGATTTTCCAGGTGCCATCTGTCACTCCTTTCTTTGACTAGGAAAGGGAATTCCCTGACCCCTTGCACTTCCCAGGTGAGGCAATGCCTCGCCCTGCTTTGGCTCATGCTCGGTGTGCTGCACCCACTGTCCTGCACCCACTTTCTGACAATCCCCAGTGTGATGAACCCAGTACCTCAGTTGGAAATGCAGAAATCACCCGTCTTCTGCATCGCTCATGCTGGGACCTGTAGACTGGAGCTATTCCTATTCGGCCATCTTGGTTCCACCCGTTTTATTTTGTTTTTAAGATGGAGTCTTGCTCTGTTGTCCAGGCTGGAGTGCAGTGGCATGATCTCGGCTCATTGCAACCTCCTCTTCCCAGATTCAAGCAATTATCCTGCCTCAGCCTCCCGAGTAGCTGGGATTATAGGTGCCAGCCACCATGCCCAGCTAATTTTTGTATTTTTAGTAAGGATGGGGTTTCCCCATGTTGGCCAGGCTGGTCTTGAACTCCTGACTTCAAGTGATCTGCCTGCCTCTGCCTCCCAGAGTGCTGGGATTACAGGTGTAAGCACCATGCCCAGCCAAAAATGTTTTTTTAAAAGAACAAAGAAAGGTACAGTAAACAGCACAAGAGTATTTATCAAGGCATAAAGTACTGGGTGAAGGGGAGATATGTTGCTGAAGTAGACCACCTAATAAAGACCCAACTTTTAGGAAGGTCTCACTGAAAATGAGTGCCTGAAAATCTGCTTTATGGCTATGTGGAGAGGACCCTGGAGGGAGATACAACATGACAGGATCGAGTAGAAGGGTAAGTAGATTTACCCACTGAGAAATTAGGCAGCTTTCCAGCTTGCGATATTAAGGGTGCTCCTCTAGCCATCCATGCAGACACTGGTCCAGCCTCGACGCTGACATTCCTACTTACAGCATTCCCCAATAATATCTGGAAACTGTGTTAAAAATGATGATTCCTGGAACCTACTTAATTAGAAAAGGGGACCCAGGAATTTGTATTTTTTAAAATTCTTCCATGATATTCACATACTCATAAAATTCAAAGAACCACTTCCCATGATACTATTTAAGTCATTGAATATGCAAATTCACATTTTATTTGGAAGCACTGAATCCATCATTAGGCCTTCATTTGGTTAGTTTTACAGGTGGCCAGCAGGCCAATGGAGCCTCTTTAACTGTGGTTTGGAACCTAGAGGAGTGAGAGCTCCTGGGTAACTTCAGCTACTCAGTTTTGCAAGGGGAGTCATATGAAAGGGATCTTATTTACAGAGCACCCACAGAGTGCTAAGAAGGAGTAGCACTGTAACAAAATCAATGAAGGAAAAAGAGGGCTCAAAGAGGACAATATTCAAAGACATAATCATCTTATGACATTTCATAACATATCAAAATGTTCTCATGACTCTTATTCCCTTTACAATTCCTAATACCAGTAACCCAATGGCATGGCCATTACTATCCCTGTTTTACACCTGATGATTATAAAATTGGATATTTTAAGTGACTTATATATGCCCTGCCCACCCTACAAAGAAAGTATGTGCTAGCATGCCAGAATGCAGATGAGAATCTAGATTTTTCTCCAAATCATGTCTATTCTTTGTAACATCAACGGACAATTTTCTTTTTTATTCATTCTTTATTTATAATTGACACAAAATAATTTTATATCTTTATGGGTACAGTATGATGTTTCCATGCATATATACATTATATAATGACCAAATCAAGGTTATTGCCATGTTAATCACTTTAAACCTTATCATTTCTTTGTGGTAGTAACATTCAAAATCTTCTCTATCTTGAAATATACACTACATCATTATTTGCTGTAATTAACCTACTGGTAATAGAACACCAGAAGTTATTCTTCCTGTCTAACTGTAGCTTTGTACCTGTTGACCAACCTCTTCAGGTCCCCCCTTCTCCCTACCCTCCCTAGTCTCTGGTAACCACTATTCCCCTCTCTACTTCTAAGAAATCCATGTTTTTAGATTCCATATATGAGTGACATCATCTGGTGTTTGTCTTTCTGTCTGTGCCTGGCTTATTTCATTTAACATAATGGCCATCAGGTTCATCCCTGTCGCCACAAAAGACAGGATTTTATTCTGTTTTATGGCTGAATAGTATTCCCAGGTATGTATATGTACATATATACATATATATACACATATATATGCACACATCCATATATATATATATACCACATTTTCTTCATCCATTCATCTGTAGATGAATATTTAGGTTGAATCCATATCTTGGCAATTGTGAATAATGCTCCAGCAAACATGGGAGTGCAGCTATCTTTTTGATATACTGATTTTTTTTCTTTACCTATATACCTAATGATGGGATTTCTAGATCTCCATTTTGCAAATGGAGATTTGTTCCTACCAATGCATGAATTTTAGGAAGCTTGGGAGCATAGGATTTCTACATCATATGTTAGTTCTATTTTTAATTTTTTGAGGAACTTTCATACTGTTTTCCATAATGGCTGTAGTAATTTACATTCCCACAAATAGTGCATAAGAGTTCCCCTTTGTCCACACCCTTGCCAGTATTTATTAATATTTTTTGTCTTTTTTTTAAGTCATTCTAACTGGGGTGAGGTGATATCTCATTGTGGTTTTAATTTGCACTTCACTGATGATTAGTGATGTTGAGCATTTTTATATATATTTGTTAGATCAATGGCCCATTTTCAATGGGCACTTTTTACTGCTTTCATTTTCTTTCTTTTAGAAATAGTTCTAACCATCTCAATTTGAAGATGTTCGCTCTTTGCATATTTCCATAATAATAATAATGATCGTCATTGTAATAATAACTACCACATATTGAGTGATTGAAATTATTCTACCCAGTTACAAAATGTTTTAAAATGCACTATCTAATTTAATTCTCATAACAACCTTATGTAGTCAGTTCCATATTTTGAAGACAAACAGAAGCTCAGAGAGAACAAGTAACTTGTCCTGGGTTCACAGTTCTTTAAAGAGGCAGCTGCCACTGGAAAATAGGTGTGCCTGACCCCATGGCCTATGCCCATGGCCACAGTGACATTTTCCCTTTTCTTATGTTAATCTCCCTTCTGGGAAATCATGTCAATAACTAGTTTGCATTCAAGGAAACATATTTTTTTTCTAGTTTAGGCTGTAAAATATGAAATACATTGTTAATGAGAACAGAGCAGTGTAAGATATAAATCTTGAATAAATTACAAGCTAGTAGCTGCCTGTAACTGTGTTGCAAATGGAGATTTGTTCCTACCAATGCATGAGTTTTATGAAGCCTAGGAATGAAAAGTGGAGACAACTTTGTCTCTGGACTAGGGGCTGATCTATGGAGAGAACCAAGTAGTAAACCTCTTCCTGCGTACTGGTGCATATGCCTAGTGTAAAATGCCTCCACCAGCACTCATATCCCTGTTCATACACCATAAACAAGGTCCTTCTTTTTAAATCAATTAGCCGGCACCGAGAACAGGCAGAAGGGAGTGTGCAGCTATGCCAACTGGCTGGGGAGTAGCTCATCTTTCTGGTTTGCTATGCTGGGTAGATTGGATGAGGAGATTAAGGCTGGTGAGGATATAAGTCTTACTCCATATCACTTGTTCATTCTGATTCTATCAGGAGAGAGTTCGGTGCAGCTGTGGCTGGGGGCATAGCATGAGGAGGGGAGAAGCATACTTTGGGCTAGGCCAGGGCTGGAGTTAATTAGACAATCAGTGTAATAGGAGACCACTAGTTGCTTTCTCTGAAGCTGCACCTGTGATTTATTGAAACTTGGCTTTGAACCCCAAACGTATCTTTCCAGCATGTTGGCTCATTTCTGAGTTTTCTCTACTAGCACCTCCATTTAACATTTGAGTAGTATTTTTCATCCTTTTTCATTATGCCTAAAAGGAAACATCACAGTCAGAACTTGAAATGTTACTGTAGTTCCACTGAACCAATAGCTTTCCCCTCCCTCCCTTTTCTTCCTAGTTTCCTTTTCACTCTTTTCTCTTTTTGTCTTAAAAAAAAATTGGTGGATACATGAGGAAACAGAAGTTCATAGACATCAATCTGTTAGCAACAGAATGAGGATTATAATGCAGATCTCAGCTTTGTGTTCCTTGACACTGTGTGGACAGTTGCTCTGTTCACTATTCTTCTTACTGGTGCTAAATCTATTTTTAACTAGATCCCCATTGCATTTTGAGTGTGCAGCTCATGTTAGTGACAAAAATGATGGAGACAATGAGAGCAGTCCTCTTTGAAGCAAGCATTGCAATCCACAATCCAGGAAGAGTAGAAATGTGGCCTGGAGGATCAAGTCTTAATTCCACAGTCACAAGCACTCCTGCCGGAACCGTTGTTGTTATTTTACAACCAACATTAATACTCTTGGGGAATATTCGGTTGCCTGGAAACAGAAGCCCATCATTGAATTCATTAATATTCAGCCAGTATGCTTTTATGAGCCTTATTATATGAATTTTCTCCTTTGATCCTAATTAACAGGTAAATATCATCAAATGAAACATTTTCAAGAATTTATGGATCTGAGTTTGGATTTTCAATTTTTTCTTTCTATTCCCAACTTCCCTGTGATTAGGTTACTTTTCCTGAATTCTTATGCTGATTAAGAAAGCAAATGACATAGAATATGTTCCTTGAGAAGGAAAAGAAGCTCAGGCAATGTTCCTTAATTTGGTGTGGGGTGGGCATAAAATCTACCAATTTAAGGAAGAATTGTTAGCACTTATTTCAACTCTACAGAAGCAGACCTAACATTCTGGCCAGAATTGAAGCTATATCTTGTGACTCTGAATTAAATTTATGGATGTCACCAATGTTTTCCTACATGAATGGTTAAGGTAAGAAAATGCATCAGGTAATAGCATGTAGGTAGAGAAGGTGCTAGCAATTCTTAGACAACTGCTTTCAAGGTTTACCATTGCAGCTCTTTGTTTACCTTAGCCAAAAGACATTCTTCAGATGGTGCTATTGTTAGAACTGTATCCCCAAAAAAAGTTATGCTGAAGTCCTCACCCCCAGTACCTGTGAATGCAATATTTATTTAGAAAGAGTCTTTGCAGAGGTAATCAACTTGGGATGAGGTCATTAGAGTGGGTCCTAATCCAATAAAACTCGTGTCCTTATAAGAAGCAACATGGAGATAGAGACACAGGGGAGAATACCATGTGATGAGGAGGCAGAGATGTAGAGATACATCCAGATGCATATATATCTAGATATGCACCTACAAGACAAAAGAATGCCAAGGATTGCCACCAACACTAGAAGCTGAGAATGGCATGAAACAGATTCTCCCCTGGAGCCTTCACAGAGAGGATGGCCCTGCCAACACCTTAATTTCAGACGTTTAACCTCCAGAGCTATGACAGAATAAATTTCTGCTTTTTTAATAAATCTATCCAGTTTGTGAGAATTTATTATGGTCACCGTAGGAAACTAATACAGTTGGAAAATCACCACGTTTTAAAAGATTTCAATATTGGCTTTATCCATGAATACCGAAATTATCAAGTTTCATAGAAGAGTTCTAATAACAGAATCTATGACTAAACTTTCTGATACAACACAGAAAATAGAAGTACTGCCAAATCTTGACAGACTCTTTCTGATAAATTTGATTAACAGAAGCTACACAGAATCTATATTCTAAAAGGCATATTCAGGAGGATTTGGTTTTTGTAAATACAGTCCTTAGGAAATAAAGCAATTAGAAAGTTGAAAACAAACAAACAAACAAAAACTACCTGGTTAAGATGTATACTTCATTTTCTTTTACATTGTTTTATCTTAAAGATTTTGGTTGGAGACATCATTAATTCACTCATTTATTTAGTAATCAATTCATAAACCATTTCATAAGAATGCATATGTGATGTTTTCAGATGCTTTATTTTTTCTTATCTGCTGCCTTAACCTATGCTTCCACAAGTCAGAATTATCAACATTTGGCAGGTATATGAGAGGCTCTAAAGGGACCATGTCAGTTGCCAGAAAATTTTCTTTAGTTTTCAAACAAAATGGCTCACTCATGTAGCTACTATATTTCTGTTATTGTTACATTACATTGGGTGTATTAGTATGCTGATTAAAAAAAAACTCTTTCGATGAAATTAGGCCTCACAACTTATAGCTAGTCCTACTGACTGACCTTGAAATTTGGAGCTTCCAGATTCCTTCATCAACTTTCCTGGAACACCTCCCTTTACTCTCAGTGGCTTTGGGGACATGACATTACATGAATTATGTTAGAGGCTTGAATTTTTTATTTTCCCTAAGCAGAAATCTATAATGGGTCCTACAAAGTATTAGGCTAAATTTTTAATGTTAGAGAATTGTAGAAACTTTAAAAAGATCCCTTAACTTAAAAAAGTAAGTAGAGAAAAGTCATATATCATATGGTTAAATAAAAGATGTTGTCACAATATAAGGCAATAATAGAAATGCAAGTAGGAAATTATGTCACGGATAAAATTGCTAGCTTTATCCGGAAGAGATAATCGTATATATTCAGTGCTTCTCAAATAATTTTCAACAAAGATTCACAAATTAAAGAATTAATTTTGCCAGGTTGAGGACACCATCTAAAGCAATGACCACGAGTGCAGAATTTCTTTCAACTCTTATTAATTTCAATAGTAATGAAAACACATTCTATTGTATATCAGTTTTATTATAAGAAATAATTGTAGTTTTTTTTTACAATGGAGCAGCAGAATTAATTATTGAGCAAGAATGGTGAACTGGATATTACCAGTGAGATCCACATCTGGGTCTCCTCCCTTCTGTGGGCAGTGAGAAAGTTATATTCCAATTTCTAGTTCTTTGAAGTAGTGAGGGCCATGTGACTATTGTCTTAGTAGATTATGAGCAGAAGTGATGAGCATTACTCCTGTGTCATGTAATAAAAATACTCCTCATAATCTTCCACCCATTTCTTCCTCTTTGGTGGGTGAGTGTGGATGCCACTTATTTGGAAGATGAGGCCAGAAAATGAAAACAGATTGGATCACTACATCACTGAGCAGAAGTCAAGTGGATAGGTCTGGAGAGTACTCAACATAGAGCAGACTTTGGGGGCATTTAAGGAAGAAACTTTATCATAAGCCACTGAGACCTTGGGTTTATTTGTTATCAGAGGATAAGCCCAGCCATGCCTGACCAATAAAATAGTCCATATCTATTATTTGGTTGCATGAGTGTCCTGGCCCACAGAAGCATGAATGGCTAGAATTGAAATAAAAAGAATTCACTTCATTTTCCCCAATGCATTCCCAAAAAGATATAAACATAGGGTTTGAGAAAGAATTATTGGGTTGGCCAGAGCATAGGGAGTCAAAAATTCCAGGTTAAAAAAATCATACTTCATCGTTTAGGCACTGGGTAGCCATAAAAAGTTGCATTATAAGAGATAGGACTGACCAAAGCTTCACGCAGCCTTGGAAGATTAATATGGTGTTTGGGTATCCAAGTTAATGACTTGAAACAGGCAAAGTCCAAGTCAAGGAGACTATTTGGGAGGCTGTTGAAATAGTCCGAGTTGACAAGCTCATGGACCAAAGCAGTAGGTATAGCAGCAGATAATAAAGCTATTTTTGAGAGACATTGTGGAAACAGAATTGACAGTACATGATAACTGGGGTAAAGAAGAAGGGGGAAACTGACTACAAAGTTTCAAGTGTAAGTAATAAGTAATGTTGGTCCCATAAGCAGAAAAAAAGAGACCCAATCGAAGGTGAGAGCTTCACAGAGGTGTTAGACTGAATATAAATCTTCACTAAGCTGAAGCCTGTTCTGCCCTTATCCATGTGGAGACTCAGGCTTTTTCCATCTTATGTCATCACCATTTAAGTGGGCAGCCTCCACTTTCCCTAAAGGAGAAGAGAGGGTTAGACTGTTGTGCAGGTGTTTTTCACAGCCTGTGATGTCCTTCTGCTCACAGTCCACTTGGCCAGATTAAATGCATGATTCTGACTAACTGCATAGGGTGGGAGAGTAAAATGTACTTCATCACCAGTCAGCTAAGCTAAGCTAAGCTAAGGATTAGCCAGTATCTACTTCTATTGCTCTGGGCTCACTCAGACAGAAATAGATCATTGATTCATGTGTTTTAGAGAGGACCATTCTTCATGTCACATTGGTACATTAAAAGTGATAGGGGTCATCTAGTAATGTTCAGGGTTGTATATAAAATCTAGAAAATCTAAAACAAACTGAAATTTCTAAGGAAAATAATGATTTAAAAAAAATTGGTGGGTAGATGTTTTTTAATTATGTAGAGTTGGTTGCCTGAATGCCCAAATTCACTAGAAGGCTGTCAACATTCCGTCTCATTTAGTTCTGGGTAAATTTCAGAAAAGTCACTTCACAGGTCTATGCATTTCACTCTGATGAGGGAATCACTTGCCCTTGTAAGCCATTGGTATTCTTTGTTACTACAATGCAAATCTAATGATTGCTTGGCATAGGCAAAACCATGACCCTATGCACTGGATGTAGAGATTCAACTAAAAGGTTAAAGTTAGGTTAGATTATCATTTACTGTGCTGAGTTTTTGCCTGTTGTCTCTCAGCTACACACCACCTGCTTTCACACTCTGCATTGTACTGCTGGGGTTAGGAGTTGGCAAACAGTACTTTTCAGGCTCATGGCTTATCTAGCTTTCTTTTGGGAAATCAGAAGGCAGGAGGAAAGCAGACTGTCCCTGCTTCTGGATCTTGCAGCGTGGTGGCTGATGTAGAGTAGCAGAGATAGAGTGATTTCAGAATCCAGCAGCCTAGGCAGGGGATTCATATTTTCTCCAATTCTTGGCTTTGTCAAGGCAGCACTCCTTCAGTGGAAGTAGCTACAATTACACAGCTAACTGCACCAATAGGTACAGGCTATCACCTTCTCACAGGTGTACTCAGAATTTGCAGCTTCCTATCTCTGAGAGTATTACTTATTTGTGGTTTTGCTCCTCCAGGCATGTTCCCATCTCCTTTTCACTCTTGTAGTCCTTTCTACTCCATTGTAACCAGTTTCCTGAATTAAATTCCATCTGTTTGAAATACCTAGAATTGTGGATAGGCCTGTGACTGATAGGATGGGAAGAGTTCTAGCTTTGAGTCTATAAACAGCAACTTTGTGGGGGCTTAGGGACTCCTCAGACTGGGCCACCATATGACAAGAGGACCACCATAAGACAAGGGACCAGAATGCAAACAGAAGCCAAAGAACCAACAGGTTTCATCAATACAAGGACTTTACAGATGCAGAATCTGAGGCTTGGAGAGGTTAAAATGACTCGTTCAAATCAGGAAACTAGTAAGTTTGAAGTCAGTACCCCAACCTCTTCAATCTGGCTCCCAAGCCAGCAACTTAATCACCACAAGACAATACCACCCTCATTGTATCAAAACTGCCTAATACAGTGCATGGTACATGTTAGGTACCTAATCAATGGCAGATATGATTACTTTGCTATTAATAACTGTAAGAATCACTTGGGCTGGGGGCAGTTCACCACACTCAACCAAGAACATCACAGATTAGATGAGGATAACAGTTTTGACTTGGCTTCCCCTATTTGATCACACAGGCCAGCATGGAAGGTGTAGCACAGCATGGCAATGCTGTTGAACCATAATGCCCTTACCCCAGGGGGAGTTGGAGGGGTTTCACATTTTTTTTTCTCTGCATGCATGCAAAACACAGAGGGATGCAGAAGACAGACTTATTGCAAAGGTCAGGCAATATGCCTTCCCGTTTTCCTTACTGTAAGTCAAGTCCATCAGTTGGCATCATGATTAAAATAACTAAATGCCAGAGCTAAATTTGAGAAATGATGTGAGCTGGAAAGAAAACTGGAACCCTAAGAAGAAAAGGATCACTTTTGAAAACACTTATCTTCAGATTATTTTAAATGACCTCCTCTTTGAGTCTTGCTTGAAAAACCTGCCTCCCTTTGCATTTCGCCTTGAAGCATTTTGCCATATGATGGATGGAGTATGCCATATAAAAATGAATTATATGGTATTTCCTCCTATTATCTATGATTCCTTGATCTTCCAGAAGAGTTTTTAATAAACATTTGAATTATTTACAGTGATCTACAAAGGCATTTTAATAGTGCATACGGTAGAGGGAAGAGAGTGAAAAATGTCTTTGTTTCACTCTGACGGGTCCGATGAACCATGACACAAATGATTGCTTGCCTCGTTTGTAATTATTCATGGTAAAGATCATCATTCAGTGGCAGAAATATTCTTGCTCTGGGTCTTAGCAATCATGAGAGCATAAGCATTATTTGCCACAATCTCACCAGAGGACAAACTGTACTGTACACAAAGTTAGGGGAATGGACTTTGGAGAAACAAATGCAGATGCCGCCAACAGTTACTGCCTGTTAAGTTACTTTTAGCCAGTCTCAGAGAGATAAGCATTTAGATTTTGCTTTTTCCAGCCCATAGAGAGACCATGGTGTGGCCACTCTGATAGCATTGTTTATATTTATCTTTGATTATATTGAAACAAATTCATTCAGCTGCTCTTAGCCACATTACATACTTTGTGTGTGCAAATGGAACCAAGTGCAGTTTAAGTCAATGCAGATTGACTGATCAAACCAGGTGCTTTTATTGCAAACTCAGACTAGACAGTGACATGTCAATATATTTCAGTCTTGGCTAATATCTATGGTCCTATTTACTTTATTCTCCAACTAGCTTCCATTCTGCTCCATCTACTTTCTGTTTTGTTTGTTTTGTATCTTCTGTTCTCAGGTCTGTGTCTTTACTCTGGAGATTTCTTTTTAATGGATCGTTTTCCTTTTTATAATTAGATTTTCTGTTTTCTAAGAATTTGGAGAATCTCCCTTCTAGATTCTTCTTTTAAAGACCGTAGCTTCAGCCTCTTAGGAGCAAATGGCCAGCAACAGCCCTAGGAGAGGCAATTCAAGAAGACAAATCATCAACCTAGGTGCCCATCAAGAGTGGACTGGATAAGGAAAATGTACATATACACCACAGAATTCTACAAAGCCATAAAAAAGAACAAAATAATTTCCTATACAGTAACATGGATACTGCTGGAGGCTATTAACCTAAGGAAATTAATGCAATAACAGAAAATCAAATACTATATCTTCTTACTTATAAGTGAGAGCTAAACAATGAATACACATAGACACAAAGACAGGAACAAGACACTGGGGACTACTAGATGCAGGAGGGAGAGAGGAGGCATTGGCTGAAAAACTACCTACTGAGTACCATGCTCACCACCTGGGTGACGAGACTATCCATTTCCCAGTCCCCAGAGTCAGGCAATGTACCCATGTAACAACCCTGCACATGTACCCCCCGAATCCAAAATTTAAAAAAAATAAGAAAGAAAAAAATAAGCCACCAAGAGTGTAGTGGGGGATAAAAGGCAGATAAATCAATGGAGCTCTACTGTGAAGTACTTTAGAACACTTGAGATCTTTAAGCAAATCAGGGACAAGCTTCCCACCCAAACTAACAGAATTAGATTTTCTAGGGCTGAAGTCTGGGCCTTGGTATTTCTTCAAGTTTCAGGAAGATTTTAATATTCTATTGGGGCTGAAAATCACAGATCTAGACAATCTGGGGTATCACCTCTGATTAGCAAAGAAGATGTTAGCCAGCTGCAGTTGATCCATGTCTAACCAGACTGAATGACCAGAAAATCGACATTCAGTCAAAAATTATCGATCAAGTACTGCCCATGCATCAAGTCTTCCCAGAAGCCAGTACTGACCCTGGTACAGTTAAATTATGTGGACCAATAGGTCTTCTTTTTGCTTAAGCCAGCTTGATTGGGAGTTCTGCCACCTAGGACATCTCCTTGATGTTAAGGGCAATAAGGGAATGTGTGGATGTGAGATGTGTGTGTGAGAGGGAGTGAGTGTATGTGTGACAGTGAATGTGGATGTGAGGTCGTATGTGCACCAGAAAGATCATCTAAATAAAGAAAACACTATCACACCATCCAGATAAAAAGGCATTGAAACTATTGTCTATTTAAGGTGTTTTAATATATGATAATGAAGTCTTCCATCAAGTTGCCATAATTTTGTGACCAAGTTAATAAAGTGTCGGTGTTATCATCATGTGGATAATATATATGTATGGTGCAGAGTGCGGAAGCAAGGAGAGAGAAAAAGAAAGATTGGGGTATAGGTGAGGACGATATACAATGAAGCTTTTTTGCCACAAATTTTATTCTCTCAGAAGACTTTTTATTTCAAACAGATATTACAATATAAAAGCCTGTTGTGATGGGCTAAAGCATTTGAAATAAACACTGCACAACATTCAAATGTGCTGTTAGAGGTTTCCACTAGAGAGGAACAGAGGGGGTGTTAAAAAAAACCTTACCTGAGGAATTGCAGCCCCGAGCATGGGCATACAAAATGACGATTTGTGTTTAAGTGGTGCTGAAAAGCCAAATGTACAGGAACAGATTAGTACTTTATCAATTGCAAAGTTAGACACAAACACACAGTGAAAGGACTACATGAAAACCAGGATGAGAATTCAGAGGACTTGGGTTGCCATCCAAACTTGGGTTTTTGGATGCCTTTAGCTTAAATTGGCGATGTTGCCTCATATCCTTTACAATTACAGAATGGAATTAGAAAAGAATCATGGGATCTTTATTAATACATTTAGGCTGCTTTATGATTTCATCAGTGTTTTAAATTTTCCTTTATAATTAATGTGTGTTTTCAATGAGGAAAAGTGTTTACTTATTTATTTTACTAATCTACCTCCTACTGCACACAGTACCCCATGTACTTTCTATATATTTTCAAGTAAAATAGCATGCCATGTCTTACTGGAACAGCATGAGTAAAAGCACATGAATATAAAGAAATAAAATTCATTTTACTGGGTAAAAATAATCATTCAGAACCTTACTATATGCAAAGCACTGGACTAGGAATAAAACATGAGACATGGAGTATAACCATTCCATCAAAAAGACTTACGCGACACCTATTGTATTCTAGCCTTTCTGTTGCACGCTATATACATGATTTAATCTTTATAACAAACCAATGAGGATGGTACATTACTCATTACAGACAGATAAGAAAAATCGAAGCATTATTTTTCAGACTATAAAACCCATGTGTTTTCAATTATGTTAAATTTTGATGAGCACCTAAGATGTGCTAAGTACATTATACATGCTCTCTCAATTATGTGAAATTCACTGAGGATTCCAATTTTACTGATGAAGGAAGTAAGACTCAAATAGAATAAATAACTCTGCAGTCACAGAACAGCAATTTATTTACTTATTTACTTTTTACATATGATTATTTATTTATCCATTTATTATGAATCTTTACCTTGCTTTTAAGGCTGAAAACTAAGTTCATCTGTTGGCATTCCTTTTTAAGGTATTTGACAAATTTTGGAAGTGTTTTGACACCTCCAAAGAGCAACAGACTATATCATGTAGCTTAGGTAATTGAAGATAATATTAATAGAGAAGGATATGCTATCTAAAAACATATCTAGTATGAAATAAAACAAAATTTCTGAGTTTTGAAGTTTTCTAAGTATAATAATTACAAATAACTATCATAGTAATATTAATATCATCAATTTGATCTTAAGTGCCTTTTAAAAAATAAATCCAACTTTTATTTTAGATGCAGGGGATACATGTGCATGTTTGTTACCTGGGTATACTGTGTGATACGGAAGTCTGAGGTATTGGGCGCATCACCCAGCTGCTGAGCATCATACACAATAGTTTTTCAACCCTCTAGCGGTCCCCAGCATCTACTATTGCAACTTTATGTCCCTGAGTAACCATTTTTAGCTCCCACTTATAAGTGAGAAAATGTGGTATTTGACTTTCTGTTCCTGCCTTAATTTGTTTAGGATAATGGCCCCAAGCTGCATCCCCATTGCTGCCAAGGGTGACATTTTGTTTCTTTTTATGGCTGCATAGTATTCCATGGTGTATATGTACCACATTTTCTTTATTCAATCCATTGTTGATGGGCACCTAGGTTGTTTCTTTCTACAGTGAAGGGTGCAGAACAGCAATTTAAATCCAAGTCTGTCTGGCTTCAAATTGTGTGCTTTTTTATTATTATTATTATACTTCAAGTTTTAGGGTGCATGTGCACAACATGCAGGTTTGTTACATATGTATACATGTGCCATGTTGGTGTGCTGCACCCATTAACTCGTCATTTACATTAGGCATATCTCCTAATGCTATCCCTCCCCCCTCCCCCCACGCCACAACAGGCCTGGGTGTGTGATGTTGCCCTTCCTGTGTCCATGTGTTCTCATTGTTCAATTCCCACCTATGAGTGAGAACATGTGGTGGTTGGTTTTCTTCCTTGCGATAGTTTGCTGAGAATGATGGTTTCCAGCGTCATCCATGTCCCTACAAAGGACATGAACTCATCATTTTTTATGGCTGCATAGTATTCCATGGTGTATATGTGCCACATTTTCTTAATCCATTCTATCATTGTTGGACATTTGAGTTGGTTCCAAGTCTTTGCTATTGTGAATAGTGCCTCAATAAACATACGTGTGCATGAGTCTTTATAGCAGCATGATTTATAATCCTTTGGGTATATACCCAGTAATGGGATGGCTGGGTCAAATGGTATTTCTAGTTCTAGATCCCTGAGGAATTGCCGCACAGACTTCCACAATGGTTGAACTAGTTTACAGTCCCACCAACAGTGTAAAAGTGGTGGGACTATTTCTCCCCATCCTCTCCAGCACCTGTAGTTCCCTGACTTTTTAATGATTGCCATTCTAACTGTTGTGAGATAGTATCTCATTATGGTTTTGGTTTGTATTTCTCTGATGGCCAGTGATGATGAGCATTTTTTCATGTGTCTTTTGGCTGCATAAATGTCTTCTTTTGAGAAGTGTCTGTTCATATCCTTTGCTCACTTGTTGATTGGGTTGTTTGTTTTTTTCTTGTAAATTTGTTTGAGTTCTTTGTAGATTCTGGATATTAGCCCTTTGTCAGATGAGTAGATTGCAAAAATTTTCTCCCATTCTGCAGGTTGCCTGTTCATTCGGATGGTAGTTTCTTTTGCTGTGCAGAAACTCTTTAGTTTAATTAGATCCCATTTGTCAGTTTCGGCTTTTGTTGCCATTGATTATGGCGTTTTAGACATGAAGTCCTTGCCCATGCCTATGTCCTGAATGGTATTGCCTAGGTTTTCTTCTAGGGTTTTTATGGTTTTAGGTCTAACATTTAAGTCTTTAATCCATCTTGAATTAATTTTTGTATAAGGTGTAAGGAAGGGATCCAGTTTCAGCTTTCTACATATGGATAGCCAGTTTTCCCAGATCCTTTCCCCATTTCTTGTTTTTGTCAGGTTTCTCAAAGATCAGATAGTTGTAGATGTTTGGCATTATTTCTGAGGGCTCTGTTCTGTTGCATTGGTCTATATCTCTGTTTTGGTACCAGTACCATGCTGTTTTCATTACTGTAGCCTTGTAGTATAGTTTGAAGTCAGGTAGCATGATGCCTCCAGCTTTGTTCTTTTGGCTTAGGATTGACTTGGCAATGCGGGCTCTTTTTTGGTTCCATATGAACTTTAAAGTAGTTTTTTTTTTTTTCAATTCTGTGAAGAAAGTCATTGGGAGCTTGATGGGGATGGCATTGAATGTATAAATTACCTTGGGCAGTATGGCCATTTTCACGATATTGATTCTTCCTACCCATGAGCATGGAATGTTCTTCCATTTATTTGTATCCTCTTTTATTTCATTGAGCAGTGGTTTGTAGTTCTCCTTGAAGAGGTCCTTCACATCCCTTGGAAGCTGGATTCCTAGGTATTTTATTCTCTTTGAAGCAACTGTGAATGGGACTCATGATTTGACTCTTTGTCTGTCTGTTATTGGTGTATTAGAATGCTTGTGATTTTTGCACATTGATTTTGTATCCTGAGACTTTGCTGAAATTGCTTATTAGCTTAAGGAGATTTTGGGCTGAGACAATGGGGTTTTCTAGATATACATTCATGTCATCTACAAACAAGGAGAATTTGACTTCCTCTTTTCCTAATTGAATACCCTTTATTTCCTTCTCCTGCCTGATTGCCCTGGCCAGAACTTCCAGCACTATACTGAATAGGAGTGGTGAGAGAGGGCATCCCTGTCTTGTGCCAGTTTTCAAAGTGAATGCTTCCAGTTTTTGCCCATTCAGTATGATATTGGCTGTGGGTTTGTCATAGATAGCTCTTATTATTTTGATACATCCCATCAATACCTAATTTATTGAGAGTTTTTAGCATGAAGGTTGTTGAATTTTGTCAAAGGCCTTTTCTGCATCTATTGAGATAATCATGTGGTTTTTGTCGTTGGTTCTGTTTATATGCTGGATTACATTTATTGATTTGCATATGTTGAACCAGCCTTGCATCCCAGGGATGAAGCCCACTTGATCATGGTGGATAAGCTTTTTGATGTGCTGCTGGATTCGGTTTGCCAGTATTTTATTGAGGATTTTTGCATCGATGTTCATCAGGGATATTGGTCTAAAATTCTCTTTTTTTGTTGTGTCTCTGCCAGGCTTTGGTATCAGGATAATGCTGGCCTCATAAGATGAGCTAGGGAGGATTCCCTCTTTTTCTATTGATTGGAATAGTTTCAGAAGGAATGGTAGCAGCTCCTCCTTGTACCTCTAGTAGAATTCGGCTGTGAATCCGTCTGGTCCTGGACTTTTTTTGGTTGGTAAGCTATTAATTATTGCCTCAATTTCAGAGCCTGTTATTGGTCTATTCAGAGATTCAAATTCTTCCTGGTTTAGTCTTGGGAGGGTGTATGTGTCGAGGAATTTATCCATTTCTTCTAGATTTTCAAGTTTATTTGCGTGGAGGTGTTTATAGTATTCTCTGATGGTAGTTTGTATTTCTGTGGTGTCAGTGGTGATATCCCGTTTATCATTTTTTATTGCTTCTATTTGATTCTTCTCTCTCTTCTTCTTTATTAGTCTTGCTAGTGGTCTATCAATTTTGTTGATCTTTTCAAAAAATCAGCTCCTGGATTCATTGATTTTTTTGAACGGTTTTTCGTGTCTCTATCTCCTTCAGTTCTACTCTGATCTTAGTTATTTCTTGCCTTCTGCTAGCTTTTGAATGTGATTGCTCATGCTTCTCTAGTTCTTTTAATTGTGATGTTAGGGTGTCAATTTTAGATCTTTCCCACTTTCTTTTTTGGGCATTTAGTGCTATAAATTTCCCTCTACACACTGCTTTGAATGTGTCCCAGAGATTCTGGTATGTTGTGTCTTTGTTCTCATTGGTTTCAAAGAACATCTTTATTTCTGCCTTCATTTCGTTATGTACCCAGTAGTCATTCAGGAGCAGGTTATTCAGTTTCCATGTAGTTGAGAGGTTTTGAGTGATTTCTTAATCCTGAGTTGTAGTTTGTTTGCACTGTGTTCTGAGAGACAGTTTGTTATAATTTCTGTTCTTTTACATTTGCTGAGGAGTGCTTTACTTCCAACTATGTGGTCAATTCTGGAATAAGTGCGGTGTGGTGTTGAGAAAAATGTATATTCTGTTGATTTGGGGTGGAGAGTTCTGTAGATGTCTATTAGGTCCGCTTGGTGCAGAGCTGAGTTCAATTCCTGGATATCCTTGTTAACTTTCTTTCCCATTGATCTGTCTAATGTTGACATTGGGGTGTTAAAGTCTCCCATTATTATTGTGTGGGAGTCTAAGTCTCTTTGTAGGTCTCTAAGGACTTGCTTTATGAATCTGGGTGCTCCTGTATTGGGTGCATATATATTTAGGATAGTTAGCTCTTCTTGTTGAATTGATCCCTTTACCATTATGTAATGGCCTTCTTTGTCTCTTTTGATCTTTGTTGGTTTAAAGTCTGTTTTATCAGAGACTAGGACGGCAACCCCTGCCTTTTTTTGCTGTCCATTTGCTTGGTAGATCTTCCTCCATCCCTTTATTTTGAGCCTATGTGTGTCTCTGCACATGAGATGGGTTTCCTGAATACAGCACATTGATGGGTCTTGACTCTTTATCCAATTTGCCAGTCTGTGTCTTTTAATTGGAACATTTAGTCCATTTACATTTAAGGTTAATATTGTTATGTGTGAATTTGATCCTGTTATTATGTTAGCTGGTTATTGTGCTCGTTAGTTGATGCAGTTTCTTCCTGGCCTCCATGGTCTTTACAATTTGGCATGTTATTGCACTGGCTGGTACCAGTTTTTCCTTTCCATGTTTAGTGCTTCCTTCAGGAGCTCTTGTAAGGCAGGCCTGGTGGTGACAAAATCTCTCAGCATTTGCTTGTCTGTAAAGTATTTTATTTCTCCTTCACTGATGAAGCTTAGTTAGGCTGGATATGAAATTCTGGGTTGAAAATTATTTTCTTTAAGAATGTTGAATATTGGCCCCCACTCTCTTCTGGCTTGTAGAGTTTCTGCCAAGAGAACAGCTGTTAGTCTGATGGGCTTCCCTTTGTGGGTAACCTGACCTTTCTCTCTGGATGCCCTTAACATTTTTTCCTTCATTTCAACTTTGGTGAATCTGACAATTATGTGTCTTGGAGTTGTTCTTCTCGAGGAGTATCTTTGTGGCATTCTCTGTATTTCCTAAATTTGAATGTTGGCCTGCCTTGCTAGATTGGGGAAGTTCTCCTGGATAATATCCTGCAGAGTGTTTTCCAACTTGGTTCCATTCTCCCCGTCACTTTCAGGTACACCAATCAGACATAGATTTGGTCTTTTCACCTAGTCCCATGTTTCTTGGAGGCTTTGCTTGTTTCTTTTTATTCTTTTTTCTCTAAACTTCTCTTCTTGCTTCATTTCATTCATTTGATCTTCCATCACTGATACACTTTCTTCCAGTTCATCGAATTGGCTACTGAAGCTTGTGCATTCGTCCCGTATTTCTCGTGCCTTGGTTTTCAGCTCCATCAGGTCCTTTAAGGACTTCTCTGCATTGGTTATTCTAGTTAGCCATTCATCTAATTTTTTTCAAGGTTTTTAACTTCTTTGCCATGGGTTCTAATTTCCTCCTTTAGATCAGAGTAGTTTGATTGTCTGAAGCCTCCTTCTCTCAACTCGTCAACATCATTCTCCTTCCAGCTTTGTTCTGTTGCTGGTGAGGAGCTGCATTCCTTTGGAGGAGGAGAGGTGCTCTGATTTTTAGAATTTTCAGTTTTTCTGTTCTGTTTTTTCCCCATCTTTGTGGTTTTATCTACCTTTGGTCTTTCATGATGGTGACGTACAGATGGGGTTTCAGTGTGGATGTCCTTTCTGTTTGTTCGTTTTCCTTCTAACAGTCGGGACCCTTAGCTGTAGGTCTGTTGGAGTTTGCCAGAGGTCCACTCCAGACCCTGCTTGCCTGGGTATGAGCAGCGGAGGCTGCAGAACAGTGAATATTGGTGAACAGCAAATGATGCTGCCTGATTGTTCCTCTGGAAGTTTTGTCTCAGAAGGGTACCCAGCTGTGTGAGGTGTCAGTCTGCCCCTACTGTTGGGTGTCTCCCAGTTAGGCTACTCAGGGGTCAGGGACCCACTTGAGGAGGCAGTCTGTCTGTTCTCAGATCTCAAACTCCGTGCTGGGAGAACCACTACTCTCTTCAAACTGTCAGACAGACATTTAAGTCCGCAGAGGTTAGTGCTGCCTTTTGTTTGGCTATGCCCTGCCCCCAGAGGTGGAGTCTACAGAGGCAGGCAGGCCTCCTTGAGCTGAGGTGGGCTCCACCCAGTTCGAGCTTCCTGGCCGCTTTGTTTACCTACTCAAGCCTCAGCAATGGCAGGCACCCCTCCCCCAGCCTCACTGCCACCTTGCAGTTTGATCTCAGACTGCTGTGCTAGCAATGAGTGAGGCTCCGTGGGCGTAGGACCCTCTGAGCCAGGCACGGGATATAATCTCCTGGTATGCCGTTTGCTAAGACAGTTGGAAAAGAACAGTATTAGGGTGGGAGTGACCTGATTTTCCAGGTGCCATCTGTCACCCCTTTCCTTGGCTAGGAAAGGGAATTCCCTGACCCCTTGCGCTTCCTGGGTGAGGCGATGCCTCACCCTGCTTCGGCTCACACTTGGTGAGCTGCACTGTCCTGCACCACTTTCCAACAATCCCCAGTGAGATGAACCCAGTACCTCAGTTGGAGATGCAGAAATCAATCGTCTTCTGCATCGCTCATGCTGGGAGCTGTAGACTGGAGCTGTTCCTTTTCGGCCATCTTGGAACCCTTTTTTAAATTTAAAATCACTGGTTGATCATTTAGAATTTGGAAGAGGGAATCAGGGTAGAAAGAGGGGAAAAGGAAGAAAAAGGAGATACAGCATGTATTAAAAATGAGAAGTTATATATTTACATTTATATTGCACACTTCCAAATAGCATCCCTGGGCATCTAAAATTACCTGTGGCTCTTATTTTGAGAACCAACTTAATGACCATTCCAGGAGGTACATAAGAGCACAAGTCCCCAGTCAATGAAATTAAAAGCAAGTAGAAAGGGAGAAAATGATGCAAAATATTTGCAAATAATAAAAGTAAGATTATGGGTGTTCTTTCGTCTTTCTTTATCTGTGTATTTTCTAACTATTAACTTGAAATTGGTGAGCATGTATGGATTTTAAAATAAAAAGAAAAATGTTACTTGAAAGAATGGTGGCAGTGGATGCATATCAATCTTATTTTGATGTTGAGCAAGTATAACAATGTCTGGCTTGAGAACCCTTATTCACTAGACTTGTATTTGGGTGACAAAAAATATAAATAACCCTAATCTTCAATAAAAGCAGAGAGTAATTCTTTCCACCAGTGTATGGCCTAGGGAATATGATGGTAAGCCCCCAAAATAGAGTTCTTCAGGTGACTTGAGCAACAAAAGCATCATTTTTAGAAGTGAATGCCTTCCCAAGGGGATTATATTGAAGGGTCTAAGATTATCTTGGCGCTCTCAAGTTTGTTAAACATCTGTCACAGTACATTACAGCTTCACCCAGTTGTCTACAGAACCAAAAGAAGAAGAAAGAGTTTAAAAGCAAGTGGAAAACAATGACAGACTTGAACTTTGAAATACCTTCTCATATTGGTTGCTAAAGCACCATATGCACCTGATTTCTTTTCATTATTATTATTATTATTATACTTTCAGTTCTAGGGTACATGTGCACAATGTGTAGGTTTGATACATAGGTATACATGCGCTAAGTTGGTTTGCCACACCCGTCAACTCATCATTTACATTAGGTATTTCTCCTAATGCTATCCCTCCCCCAGTCCCCCACCCCACAACAGGCCCTGGTGTGTGATGTTCCCTGCCCTGTGTCCAAGTGATCTGATTGTTCAATTCCCACCTATGAGTGAGAACATGCAGTGTTTGGTTTTCTGTCCTTGTGACAGTTTGCTGAGAATGATAGTTTCCAGATTCATCCATGTCCCTGCAAAGGAAATGAACTAATCCTTTTTTATGGTTGCAAAGTATTCCATGTTGTATATGAGCCACATTTTCTTAATCCAGTCTATCATTGATGGACATTTGGGTTGGTTCCAAGTCTTTGCTATTGTGAATAGTGCCGCAATAAATATACATGTGCATGTGTCTTTATGGTAGCATGACTTATAATCCTTTGGGTATATACCCAGTAATGGGATTGCTGGGTCAAATGGTAATTCTAGATCCTTGAGGAATCACCACACTGTCTTCCACAATGGTTGAACTAATTTACATTCCCACCGACAGTGTAAAAGTGTTCCTATTTCTCCATATCCTCTCCAGCATCTGTTGTTTCCTGACTCTTTAATAATTGCCATTCTAACTGGCATGAGATGGTATCCCATTGTGGTTTTGATTTGCATTTCTCTGATGACCAGTGATGATGAGCATTTTTTCATGTGTCTGTTGGCTGCATAGATGTCTTCTTTTGAGAAGTGTCTGTTCATATCCTTTGCCCACTTTTTGATGGGGTTGTTTTTTTCTTTTAAATTTGTTTGAGTTCTTTGTAGATTCTGGATATTAGCCCTTTGCCAGATGGGTAGATTGCAAAATTTTTCTCGCATTCTGTATGTTGCCTGTTCACTCTGATGGTAGTTTATTTTGCCATGCAGAAGCTCTTTAGTTTAATTGGATCCCATTTGTCTATTTTGGCTTCTGTTGCCGTTGCTTTTGGTGTTTTAGACATGAAGTCCTTGCCCATGCCTATGTCCTGAATGGTATTGCCTAGGTTTTCTTCTAAGGTTTTTATGGTTTTAGGTCTAACATTTATGTCTTTAATTCATCTTAAATTAATTTTTGTAAAAGATGTAAGGAAGCGATCCAGTTTCAGCTTTCTACATATGGCTAGCCCGTTTTCCCAGCACCATTTATTAAATAGGGAATCCTTTCCCTATTTCTTGTTTTTGTCAGGTTTGTCAAAGATCAGATGGTTGTAGGTATGTGGTGTTATTTCTGAGGCCTCTCTTCTGTTCTATGGGTCTACATCTCTGTTTTGGTACCATTACCATGATGTTTTGGTTACTGTAGCCTTGTAGTATAGTTTGAAGTCACGTAGCATGATGCCTCCAGCTTTGTTCTTTTTGCTTAGGATTGTCTTGGCAATGTGAGCTTTTTTTTTTTTTGTTCCATATGAACTTTAAAGTAGTTTTTTTTTCAATTCTGTGAAGAAAGTCATTGGTAGCTTAATGGGGATGGCAATAAATCTATAAATTACTTTGGGCAGCATGGCCATTTTCATGATATTGATTCTTTCTATCCATGAACATGGAATATTCTTCCATTTGTTTGTGTCCTCTTTTATTTCGTTGAGCAGTGGTTTGTATTTCTCCTTGAAGAGGTCCTTCACATCCTTGTAAGTTGGATTCCTAGGCATTTTATTCTCTTTGTAGCAATTGTGAATGGGATTTCACTCATGATTTAGCTCTCTGTCTGTTAATGCTGTATAGAAATGCTTGTGATTTTTGCACATTGGTTTTGTATCCTGAGACTTTGCTGAAGTTACTTATCAGGTTAAGGAGATTTTGGGTTGAGATGATCAGGTTTTCTAAAGTTACAATGATGTCATCTGCAAACAGGGACAATTTGACTTCCTCATTTCCTAATTGAATACACTTTATTTCTTTCTCTTGCCTGATTGCCCTGGCCAGAACTTCCAACACTATGTTGAATAGGAGTTGTGAGAGAAGGCATCCTTGTCTTGTGCCAGTTTTCAAAGGGAATGCTTCCAGTTTTTGCTCATTCAGTATGATATTGGCTGTGGGTTTGTCATAAATAGCTCTTATTATTTTGAGATATGTTCCAACAATACCTAGTTTATTGAGAGTTTTTAACATGAAGTGCTGTTGTATATTGTCAAAGGCCTTTTCTGCATCTATGGAGATAATCATGTGGTTTTTGTCTTTGGTTCTGTTTATGTGATGGATTATGTTTATTGATTTGTGTATGTTGAACCAGCCTTGCATCCCAGGGATGAAGCCAACTTGATCGTGATGGGTAAGCTTTTTGATGTGCTGCTGGATTTAGTTTTCCAGTATTTTATTGAGGATTTTTGCATCAATGTTTATCACGGATATTGGTCTAAAATTCTCTTTTGTTTGTTGTGTCTCTGCCAGGCTTTGGTATCAGGATGATGTTGGCCTCATAAAATGATTTAGGGAGGTTTCCCTCTCTTTCTATTAATTGGAATAATTTCAGAAGGAATGGTCCCAGCTCCTCTTTGTACCTCCAGTAGAATTCGGCTGTGAATCTGACTGGTCCTGGACTTTTTTTGGTTGATAGGCTATTAATTATTGCCTAAATTTCAGAGCCTGTTATTGGTCTATTCAGAGATTCAACTTCTTCCTGGTTTAGTCTTGGGAGGGTGTATTTGTTGAGGAATTTATCCATTTCTTCTAGTTTTTCTAGTTTATTTGCATAGAGGTGTTCATAGTATTCTCTGATGGTCGTTTGTATTTCTGTGGGATTGGTGGTGATATCCCCTTTATCATTTTTTTTTTTTTTTGCGTCTATTTGATTCTTCTCTCTTTTCTTCTTTATTGGTCTTGCTAGCTGTCCATCAATTTTTTTGATCTTTTCAGAAAACCGCCTCCTAGATTCCTTGATTTTTGAAGGGTTTTCTGTGTCTCTATCTCTTTGAGTTCTGCTCTGATCTTAGTTATTTCTTGTCTTTTGCTAGCTTTTGAATTTGTTTGCTCTTGCTTCTTTACTTCTTTTAATTGTGAGGTTAGGGTGTGGATTTTAGATCTTGCTCTCTCTTGTGGACATTTAGTGCTATAAATTTCCCTCTACACACTGCTTTAAATGTGTCCTAGAGATTCTGGTATGTTGTGTCTTCTCATTGGTTTCAAAGAACATCTTTATTTCTGCCTTCATTTCGTTATTTACCTAGTAGTCATTCAGGAGCAAGTTGTTCAGTTTCCTTGTAGTTGTGCAGTTTTGAGTGAGTTTCTTAATCCTGAGTTCTAATTTGATTGCACTGTGGTCTGAGAGACAGTTTGTTGTGATTTCTATTCTTTTACATTTGCTGAGGAGTGCTTTACTTCCAATTATGTGGTCAATTTTAGAATAAGTGTGATGTGCTGAGAAGAATGTATATTCTCTTGACTTGGGGTGAAGAGTTCTGTACATGTCTATTAGGTCTGCTTGTTGCAGAGCCGAGTTCAGGTCCTGGATATCGTTGTTAACCTTCTGTCTCATTGATCTGTCTAATACTGACAGTGGGGTGTTAAAGTATCCCATTATTATTGAGTGGGAGTCTTAGTCCCTTTGTAGGTCTCTAAGGACTTGCTTTATGAATCTGGGTGCTCCTGTATTAGGTGCATGTATATTTAGGACAGTTAGCTCTTCTTGTTGAATTGATCTCTTTACCGTTATGTAATGGCCTTCTTTGTCTCATTTGATCTTTGTTTGTTTAATGTCTGTTTTATCAGAGACTAGGATTGCAATCCCTGCTTTTTTTTTTTTTTTTTTTTTTTTTTTGGCTTTCCATTTGCTTGTTAGATCTTCCTCCATCCCTTTATTTTGACCCTCTGTGCATCTTTGCATGTGAGATGGGTCTCCTGTATACAGCACACTAAACGTTCTTAACTCTTTATCCAATTTGCCAGTCTGTGTCTTTTAATTGGGCATTTAGCCTATTTACATTTAAGGTTAATACTGTTATGTGTGAATTTGATCCTGTCATTATGATGTAAGCTGGTTATTTTGCCCATTAATTGATGGAGTTTCTTCATAGCATTGATGATCTTTACAATTTGGCATGTTTTTGCAGTGGCTGATACCAGTTGTTTCTTTCCATGTTTAGTGCTTCCTTCAGGAGAAGCTCTTGTAAAGCTGGCCTGGTGGTGACAAGATCTCTCAGCGTTTGCTTGTCTGTAAAGGATTTTATTTCTCCTTCACTTATGAAGCTTAGTTTGGCTGGATATTAAATTCTAGGTTGAAAATTATTTTCTTTAAGGACGTTGAATATTGGCCCCCACTCTCTTCTGGCTTTTAGGGTTTCTGCCGAGAGATCAGCTGTTAGTCTGATGGGCTACCCTTTGTAGGTAATTCAGCCTTTCTCTCTGGCTGCCGTTAACACTTTTTCCTTCATTTCAACCTTGGAGAATATGACAATTATGTGTCATGGGGTTGCTATTCTCAAGGAGTATCTTTGTGGCGTTCTCTGCATTTCCTGAATTTGAATGTTGGCCTGCCTTGCTAGGTTGGGGAAGTTCTCCTGGTTAATATCTTGAAGAGTCTTTTCCAACTTGGTTCCATTCTCCTCATCACTTTCAAGTACACCAATCAAACGTAGGTTTGGTCTTTTCACATAGTCTTATATTTCTTGGAGGCTTTGTTCATTTCTTTTTACTCTTTTTTCCTCTAAAATTATCGTCTCACTTTATTTCATTAATTTGATCTTGCCATGGTTTTCAGCTCCATCAGGTCATTTAAGGTCTACACTGTTTATTCTAGTTAGCCATTCGTCTAATCTTTTTTCAAGGATGTTAGCTTCTTTGCGATGGGCTTGAACATCCTCCTTTAGCTTGGAGGAGTTGGTTATCACTGACCTTCTGAAGCCTACTTCTGTCATCTCATCAATGTCATTCTCCATCCAGTTTGTTCCATTGCTGGGGAGGAGCTGCGATCCTTTGGAGGAGAAGAGGTGCTCTGATTTTTAGAATTTCAGCTTTTCTTCACTGGTTTCTCCCCATCTTTGTGGTTTGATCTTTGATCTTTGATGTTGGCGACCTACAGATGGGGTTTTGGTGTAGAGGACCTTTTTGTTGATGTTGATGCTATTCCTTTCTGTTTGTTAGTTTTCCTTCTAACAGTCAGGTCCCTCAGCTGCAGGTCTGTTGGAGTTTGCTGGACTTCCACTCCAGACCCTGTTTGCCTGGGTATCACCAGCAGAGGCTGCAGAACAGCAAATATTGCTTCCTGATCCTTTCTCTGGAAGCTTCGTCCTAGATGGGCAGCCGCTTATGAGGTGTCTGTCAACCCCTACTGGGAGGTGTCTGCCAGTTAGGCTACACGGGGGTCAGGGACCCACTTGAGGAGGCAGTCTGTCCATTCTCAGAGCTCAAACACAGTGCTGGGAGAACCACTGCTCTCTTCAGAGCTGTCAGACAGGGACGTTTAAGTCTGCAGTTGTCTGCTGCCTTTTGTTCAGCTATGCCCTGCCCTCAGAGGTAGAGTCCTTGCAGATCGATCTCAGACTGCTGTGTTAGCAGTGAGCAAGGCTCTGTGGGTGTGGGACCTGCTGAGCCAGGCATGGGAGAGAATTACCTTATCTGCTGGTTGCTAAGACCTTGGGAAAAGTGCAGTATTTGGGTGAGAGTGTCCTGTTTTTCTAGGTAGTCTGTTCCAGCTTCCCTTGGCTAGGAAAGGGAAATTCCCTGGCCCCTTGTGCTTCCCGGGTGAGGCAACACCCCAACCCTGCTTCATCTCGCCCTTCATGGGCTGCACCCACCGTCCAACCAGTCCCAATGAGATGAACCAGGTACCTCAGTTGGAAATGCAGAAATCACCCATCTTCTGCATTGATCATGCTGGGAGCTGCAGACCAGAGCTGTTCCTATTCGGCCATCTTTCACCTGATTTCTAACCTACTTCACTGGCTACTCCCTCTGGGTCTCAGTTAATGATGCTCCCTCCTTTCCCAGCAAGTCTGGATACTTGAGCTTCCTGTGCTTAATCGCTCTTTAAGTGACATCATCTAACCACATGCCTTTATAGTCAATCTATATGCAGAGCATTACCACATTTACATCTCAACCTAGATTGCCCTGAGGTTGAGGCCCTGACATCCAACTATCTACTGAATAGCTCCACATGGATAACTGTTACGCATTTGAAACTTATTATGTCCAAAACCAAATCCCTGATCTTTCCTCCAACATAATCACTCTATAGTTTTCTTCATTTTATTTAAGGACAACTTTATATTTCTATTTACTGAGACTAAAAACATTGCAAAGTAATCCTTGATTCCTTTCTCTGTTTCTCACACCACATACCCAATCCCACCAACAAATCCTGTTGGTTCTACCTTCAAAACATAACCAGGAACCAGCATGTACTAGTACCTTTACCACCATACCCCTGGTCAAACTGCCACCATCTCACAGCTTGATAATAATGATATCCTCCTAACTGGTTACTCTGGTAACAATGTTGCTCACCTAGAGTCAGTTCCTAACATAGCAGCCATGTAATCATTTCAAAATGTAACTTAAATTGTGTTCTAACTCTGTTCAAGACTCACCAATGCCTTTCCATTTTACACAATGTGAAGCAAAAATCTTTACTAGCAGCTACCAGGTTGCTTAAAATCTCAACCTTCATTACTTCTATGACTTCCTTACCTATGACTCATCCTCAATCACTCTGGTCCAGCCACCTGGTCTTTTTGCTATACCTGAGCACTAAAGTCCCACTGCTACCTCAAGACCTTTGCACTTGCTGTTCTTTGAGCTGGAAATACTCTTTTCCATATAACTTATGCTAGAGTTCCCTTCCTCATTTGAGTGATGAATTTAATTTATATTTTACAAATGAAATGCTTACTTTTAATGGGAAGAAGCACAATTACTTTTGCACCAACCTAATAAAATGAAATAGACTCAGTAGCTAGCTAGTGATTTATTTTCTCGTGAAAAGACACATGATGAATTAGGAGTTTGGCAGGACTTATTTCACAAGATACAGGTTACAAAGACCCCATTAATAAAACAGGATGCAGTAAAGAAGCCAGCCAAAACCCACCAAAACCATGATGGCAACAAATGTGACCTCTGGTCATCCTCACTGCTCATTAAATATTAATTATGAGACATTAGCATACTAAAGGAAACTCCCATGTGTGCCATGACAGTTTACAAATGCCATGGCAATCCGGAAATTGCCTTATATGGCCTGAAAGGGGAAGGAACCCTCCGTTTTGGGAAACTCCAGCCTTTTTCCCAGAAAACTCATAAATTACCCACTCCTTGTTTAGCATATGATCAAGAAATAACCATAAAAATAGCCAGCAGCTATCAGGGCTGCTCTGCCTAGGGAGCAGCCACCTTTTTATTCCTTTATTTTCTTAAAGAACTTGCTTTCACTTTACTCTGTTGGCTTGCTCTTGAATTTTTTTGCAAATCCAAGAACCCCCATGGCCTCCTGAGCTGAACCCCAGTTTTGGAGTTTACCTTGTGACAATCACATGAAAGTAAAGGTCTGTCTCTAATTCCAAACAAAACCTGACCCATCCAACACCAGCCAGGTGCTGGAAGAATGACATGGAAATTATAACCTGAGATAAGTCAGTATCTTCCACACCCATGGAACTGGTCTCAGGAAGGAGAACTCATGGCTTAAAAAAACCTAAGCCTAGGGACTCTAGGAAATCATCTGTGTGAATTTTACTTGAAGAGACCCTTAGCTCACTAATTTTAAATGGACGCTCCGGTTTCCTTATTGGTGCAATTTCACTGTTGCATATCACAAACCAAGCACGTGAAGCAGCTCTCCTCTCACTCTTGAATGTGTTTCTTTTTATATTTCCTGCCAGTTAGCATACTCAAGTAACGAGATAAATTGGTTTTATAGGAAAGCAGAGAAATATATGAAGAACAGTTTATGTAGGGTCAAACCCTTAAAGAGTTAAAGACATTCTACATATAAAATTCAAGCAATAATATCTACCTTCAAGTAACACATGACTGTTAGACTTACCACATGCAAAGCACTGTGGAATCACCGTAGATCCCATAAAAGGAAGAAGACAAGACTTTGGCCTGAAGGAGTTTATAAAGCAGCCTAGGAACATATGACTCTTAAATGTAATTAATAGGGTGGTAAGTTCTATAATTAAGCTACAAAGAGCTTTAGGCAGAAAAAGAAGCATGAGGACAAATTTAATTTAAATAGATGTAAGGGAAATTTCATGAGGTGACATCTTTTTATATGGGCTTTGAAGGACAAATTGAATCTCAATAAGTAGGCAAGCTCTTGTTTATGTAGTTATTCATTCATTCGTCACAATAAATACTTACTGAAAACCTTCCAAGTTTCTATGAAATCTTTTGGATGCAAAAGAGGTGTTCCTCAATCAGAAAAAAAAGAGGGTCTAGAGAGGTGCAGAAGCATGAGAAAATTAGCAAAACAAAATCAGGTGAGGAATTGGGAAGAGGAAAGATAAAAGGGTCGTTAGTTAATAAAATAAGACTGGGGGAGTGAGAAGCAGAGAAAATGGAAATGGAATCTGTTTCTGAAAGTGTATGATTTTAATAAAAAGTTCAAGAGAAGTGTCAGTTACTATTATTATAATCAATAGTCTCAAATGGTGTGCTGAAATGTTTTGAATTTATGTAATAGCAAGGTTTTTTTGAGCAGGGGAATGATAGTCTCAGTACCCTTCTTAGGAGGAAAAAAAATGCTAATAAGCCCCACAGAGCATTGGGATAATGGGGTTCCTCTGACACAAATTCTGCAAATGCCTCCCTGAAAGAGTTCATTCTGTGTCTGCTCCAGGGCATTCTTAACCCATTTAGATATAAAATAAACCAGGGAGGCACAAGGCAGCAAATTTGGTTATAAGGCAACTGGCTTTAAAAGGATTTTTTGAAAACTATTAAATGTGTCTGATGTGCCAAACACAATTGTTTTTGGACTTGAATTATGGTTTTCTTGAATTATGGTTTTTTTAATTATGGTTTTTTGGACTTGAATTATGGACTGATTGATACAGTGATGACTGTTGGCCATATCTCTTTAAACGCTCTGAGGCCCCAGCCAATCTTTCTTTGCTATGACCATCTTAAACATTTTCATTTGCCCAGCACAGCATGCCTCACATTTCCAAGCTATACAACAAGCCGTTGTGATTAAATATACTCCAGGCTCTCTACTCCGTCTTGTTCTATAGACACATTGGCCATCAGTGTTTGTGTATTTAAATACATATATTCAATTTATGTGGACTACGGTGAGGTTACATGAAATAAGTCCACCTGAGAGTGTTTATCTTCATCTCTTACCTGGTAGTCTCTCTTTAAATCTGGCTAGGGGTGATCACCTGTCTGCCAAGATTAAAAAGTAGACAACTGTCCAGGATGTATATATGACATTAGGTATACAGAGTTCACCAGTTCAAATAGAATTAGAATTTAGCTCCCTTATTTAGTCAGGTCTCCCCTATCCTCACAGGGTAGCTTCAGTAAACTCCCATATGGCCATAAGTAGAAATTTCTAGGTATATCATAGTTGGAAATTTACCAAACAATACAGTTTCTCCAGAAGCCAAAGACAGGCATTTAATTTGTCTCTGCAAACTTCCTGCCAGGTAATTTTATTGCCTTCCAAGCTAATTTTTTCCTAAGTGGCTTTTGTGATATACATGTAAACTTGAAGCAGACCTAAAAAGTGGACCTAAAAAAGCAGATGGTCAGGGCAGTGACCCCAGTGAATATATGCAGGGTCCCTCCCTGGGTACCTACGAAGATAATTGTTGACCTCTTTCCACTAAATAATAGTAAAATAATAGTAATAATAATAATAATAATAAAGATGTTCAAAAGGCAGGTTACAGGACAAAAATTGAGAAGACAAGAAATCAATGATTCAGACAAAGCACCAATGTTATCCTTTTCTCTTTGTTCAGGTCTATGGATTGATGATTTGTGTGGTGTTGAGGGTTTCACTGTATCCAGGGGACACAAGTGTGCAGTCAAGCTAATGCCAGCAGAGGCAGAGCCACAGAGAGTCCCAAAAAGGAAGGAAGTGGAGGATATTCCTTAAAATATTAACCTTCCTGGGGCTCAGTCTTTAGCTTCCTTTACTTCTCTCCACTGATGTCTCCCAAATCGTATTTTCAGATTCAAACTCTCCCCTGAACTTTAAACTCATTTTTTCAACTACTAACTACACCTGGATGTACTGCAGACCTGGAAGCAAACACGTCCAAAACAAAATTTGAACTCCTTCCTGAATCCATTCCCCGCAAGACTTTACCATCAAACTAAATGGCATCACCATTTACCCAGCTGCTAAGTCCAAATGTCCAGGCATAGGCATATTTACCAACTCCTCTTCTCTCTAATATCTCTTATACAATCCATTTAGCAAGTCCTGTTATTGCTATGTTAGCCTTATATTATGAACTTGATCAATTCCTATAAATTCTACTGCTAATACATAAAGTCAACCCCAATTATTTATCCCCTAGACTGTCATAAAAGACCTCTGAGTCCCCTACTTCCGGACTCTCCATGCGCTGTCCTGTGCCCTTTGCCTTAGCTTCTCCAGACATAGCATCCAGAAGGATCATTCCAAATGAAAAAAACAGATCACATCACTCACCTGCTCAAAATGCTCCCACCAGGTTTCAAATAAAATTGAAAATCTTTAGCAAGGTCTACAAGGCTCTTCATGGTGTGGGCCTACTTACCACTTAGACCTCATCCCCAGGTACCTCCCTGATCGCCCCTCACTCATTTTGCTGTACCCTATCCTTGTTGTGATTTCAAAATGTTCAGCTCCTTTTTGGATTTTATACTGTTTCATCTTCCCAGACTCTGCACCCCCAGGAGTTTTAAAGGGCAGGATGCTTCATGTCAGGTAGGTTTCTGTGAAAATTTGACCTTCTAGACCATTCTATTTAAAATAGTCTCCACCCTATCTCTGCCCTCTGTATACCATCCCAACTATAGCCAACTAAGTTTTTTTTTTCTTAGTACTCACATCACTTGAAATTGCATTATCTGTTCACTTGCTTAATACCTGTGGCTTTCAAAAGACAATAATTTCCACATACGGCAAGACTTTTTTATTCATTGCTGTTTCCTTAAAACTTAGACCAGCATCTGGTACGCAATAGATACTGAATACCTATTTAATGAATCAGAACACAACCCAAGGCCTGTGGGGAAGGATGAGATAACTGCTGACTGTCCAGCCACAGTGTGTGATGAGTGTGTTAAAACTATTTGGGATTTAGGTTTAAGAGACTTTCCATTTTGATATGCCATCTTATTAATTCAATACTTATTGTGCATAGTTTCTTACTAACTTTTCTCTTTTTAATGAGTACAAGAGAAATGAGTGGCCATGATCTTTCTTGTTTTATACAGCAATCACTCCCTTGAATGTTAGAATAGAAAATGAGATCCAAAGACTTTAAAAAAAAATAAAGGCCTGTGGTATGGTGGAAAAGATGTACTGAAGCTAGAATTATATGTTCATTGAGTGTTAGAATAGATGCCCCTTAGAGAAAACCTCAACCCTCTGCTGGAATTACTACCTCTGAATTAGAGATCATGGTATCCCTATAAAGGTTTAAGACTTGAATAATCTAAATAAGATTCAGAATTTAATTAAACTCCCATGTATGTACTATAATGGATATTACTAAGTATGAATTAAGATAAATATCCTTATCTTAAAAAATTCCAAATAAAGAGAAAAATATAAAATGTGCCAATACTGAAAAGAACTTAAGAAAGTAACTCAACTTTGGATGCTTCATCTGAAAAAAAAAAAAAAGAAAAATGAAATTAATTATATCTACCCCCACTCAACTATGATGAGGGATAAATAAGAAGTAGGTGAATAGGCTTTGATAACTATAATTTCCTAGAGAAAAAGAAGAATTATCAAGAGTATTACCAGATAGAGGGGTCCCCTTAGCTCCAGGGAGACTCTAGTCTCAATGAGTCGCATGGTTTAGACAATTTCCTTTGACTCAAGCAGAGGCCAGATGCAGTACCGCAGAGCAAACACAGATCTGGAAGGCAGGAGACTCAGATCCTTGTCCCATCCACAACATGACCTCATTAAGTTTTCTCAGGTCTTTCTCATTCTGTCTCTAATCTTGATTTTATTATCTATGGAAAGAGTAGTCCAAAGTTGTGAACTCTTAAGGGCCTGTCATCTCTGAATTCATGACTTTTTAAGTTCCTTGGTACAATCATAGTATTTTACTGCTAAATCTGTGAGCCTAAGCAGTTGCTATACCCACTCCCTGTATTTTCTTCTATCACAGTAAATTGAAGGAAATGTCTTGAGAATAAAACAGACCCCAGTCAGTCTCATACATGGCACTCCACAAATAGCTGGAGTATGGTTTTAGTGACCAGCTGTGCTAGACCATAGACATGGACTATTGCCTGGCACACCACTTTAACCCAAGAGACAGAAAAGTGCATACTCAAAGCAAAACAATAAGATTGGCCTATCATACTGCTTTTCTCCAACTTTACAGCACCATTATCAGATCTTTTGCTTTTAAGGTGAGTGGCACTGCTTTTTGTGTGTTTTTGTTTGTTTGTTTGTTTGTTTTAATCAATGAAATGAAGTGCAAAGGTCTAGTAAGGCAATAGCAGTGTTCTCAGTCTCTATCTATATTATTATTGTCCTTCTATACCCACTACTGTCATCTGCTAAGGAAAGGCTCTTCCTATTACAGATACAGAACCAACAGAACACACTTAAAAAAATAAACATATGCTTTCAACCTCAAAGGACAGTGAGAGGCAAAGTTTAAACTTTTGGCTTATACTGAAGTTCAGTTCTTCCCACATGTCAGAGACCTCTGGCTATGGGTGAATCTCACTGAGAAAAAACCTATGATGATTATTCCATTTGGCTTGCATGGAATTTATTACAGAATGTGTCATTCAGAATGTGTCAAGTCAGAGTCTCACCTTTGTGTCTTCAACTAGTATACCAGATTGCTAAGCTACATCATGGCAACATCAATGAGTTCAAATGGGCTGGGCTTCTAATAATAAAACATTCATCATGCCATAGCTAAGTTTCTTGAACAGGCTCACGTTTTATCCAATGTTTATAATAGTTCTCAATAATTTTTTATTGGTGGTTTCAATAAAAATCACTTATACACAGAAGCAGCTAATTAATTGTGTAGTTTTTTATGTTAACTTATTATTTACAAAGTACTGTCAAAGTTATTTTAAATGGAAATTATATGCTTATTTAAGTTAAGAAAGACAGACAAAATGACTTGTCCACACTCACCCAGTTTAATCTTCTAGAACCAAGACTTGTATCTGGTTCTTCTGATAGTTATTAAAAGTAGCCCTGAGGAACAATGGTATAATTAATAAAATGAGGTAATTTTGTGAATTATTTCAGAAACAAATTCTGGTCTTAAAAACACCTTATTACAAAAAGAAATTTAAGCAAAACATCTGCAAAATTTAGAAACTTACTTTAGGCAGATAATTTTCTTCCCTATAAGTGTATGAAGTTCAAAAGAATATCAAAAATTCTGTAAACTTTCACTCGGATTTTAAAAATATGTAGTAGATGTGTTTCTTGGTTTTAAGTATAGAAATGTGTGGTGTCAAAAGGGATTATATCTCAGAGAACACTGTAACCATTAGTTTTCACCTTCAGTGAATAGAAATCAGAAAAGCAAACCAAGTCCATAGAAAGAGCAGAGAATATTCACATTGATTATGCTTCCATTCAGGGGTTCAAAACCTGTTAAGAAACAAACAAAAAGCTGTACTCTGGCTGGTTAATTTGTTTCCCATAGGGAAATGGGTTTGTAAAACTACTTCACCTGTTTACTGGAGTTGAACATGTAAATAAATATGTTGTAGATAATGGAATCCTAGAGTCTCACCTTTGGTGAAAATATTTATAAATAATTGCTTGGGGGCAGTTACTAGCATAAATCCTTTGGTGTTGATTTGGAATCAAAACTATCAGAATGACCTCATTTTATAGATAGATACATGGATAGATAAATACACGCAGAAATGAATATGATATGTGTATAAACATGATGCATCCACTAGTAGTCATACATTTATTTCCTAGTTCTGTCTCCTAAGAGGGCCTTGACACAGTGGCACCCCACTAGCAACGTGCATATACAGTGCTCACATTTTGGTTGCTAAATCTCATTCTTCAAAAAAGGAACTAGGGCTCTTTGAAGAATTGGTGATTTCATGGCTGGGGTAGGGGAAAGTCAAAATGAATCTGGACCATATTGTGGTGCCAAAAAGTAATAAAAAAGGGTAGATAAAAAGGAATAGAAGTGAACCTTAAAGGACTTTCAAATATAGGATAATTTGAGGAAGAAACTGAATAATGATAGCATTGGATTGTAAAACAGAAAAATTAAACATCCATGAGTCTGTACTGTACAAAATAATACAATAAATAAATATGTGGGAGAAATGGACAGATCTTCCTTACAAATGAATTCCAAATAATAAAAGCAAAACATCATAGTAATAAATCACAGTATTCTCTCCAAATATTTATCTATTTCAAAGAAAAACATAGTAACTTTATAGTTACCTTTATACAAACTTGGCCAAAACCACATTAATCAAATGAGTTATATCACCAGTAATAAGACATTGATATTATGTATCTCTTGATATGATGTGTGAGAAGGGCACGTCACCTTTATGGTATTCTTCCCAAAAATCCATATCCTTAATCTAGCCATGAGAAAAGATCAGACAGGCTTAAATTAAGGGACATTCTACAAAATACCTGACTACTACTCTTCAAACATGACAGGGTTATGATAGATAAGAAAATACAGAGAAATTCTCACAGATCGGTGGAGACTAAAGAGAGATATGCCAAATAAATGCAATGTGGGATCCTGTAAGGAAAAAAAAAAAGAATATTAGTGAGAAAACTGTTGATATCTTAATAATGTTTGTGAGTTTAGGTAGTACATTTATCTCATAGTTTTGATCATCATACCTTGATTATATAAGATACTTTCATTAGGGAGGCTGGGTGAAGAATATATGAAAAACATGTACTATTTTTGAAACTCTTCTGTAAGTTTATCTAAAATCTGCCTAAAAAGTTAAATAAAAAAGTAACACACATTGTAAATCTTCACCATTAATTGAGGACAGAGAATTGTGAAAGTCCTGGAATGAGAAAAAGGGAGAATAACTAGGAGGAAAACCCAGGGAATTTTCAGGGATATTTCATGCTTAATTTCAAGTTGTTGCCTGTTAACAAATTTATTGTAGTGCAATTTAGCTGATGCAAGTTGAGTTCTGAGAGATGCATTCTCTAAGATAGAGGTCAATGTGCAGGGTGCTTATTTAGGGCTTTTAGAAGTTATGGAAAGGATGGAAAAGAGAGGAGATTGGGCGTAAGAAGAAGCTCGACAGTGATATAGTCTCAACAAAGACCTCAAACCTGACCTACAGAAAGTCCTAAAGCTAGGAAAGCCCTTCAAAGTTGTCCTAAGTTGGGACAAGGGTGTCAGGCCCTTATAACCCTGCTTATCAGTCATTGGATGCTGCTTGGTCCTTGGGCAAGGCAGTTTTCCTCAGCGGAGACCATCCTCCAGGAGGATGACAGTTAAAGCCATCCTATGGCAGCGCTGTCATCAGCTGGGGAGTAAGTTCCTCATCTCTGAAAGGGGGCTTGGGTGACCATCATAGCATCCACCACATTAGCCAACTCTAGCCATTAAGTAACATAGCCTATTCACAACAAATGTGTCTGTAGTGATGTTTGTGAGAGTGAAAAATTAAAAATTTTAAAATATCTATATCACATGCTTGGAGTAATGCAGGGTGGTAGAAAGGGAGCAGACATTTGACGTGGATGAAGAAAGGGAGAAACAACATAATAGGAGACAGGGAACCTCATTCTCCAAGAGTTTTTATACATTCTGAGGGGGAGATGAAACCAAAAGGTGTGCATAAGCTCAGGACAGTTTATTTGTTTATAGAGGAAAAGGTGACCTTCTAAGAATGTTTAAAACCCTGAGGGGCAGGAAAGTGGCACAAAATCAGATTATATAAATTTAATAAGAATAATAGTGTGGTAGGCAGAATGATGTCCCAGCTTCCTACATTTCAAATATACCCTCCGCCTAATCCTTGGAACCTGTGAATATGTTAGGTTACATAGTAATGAGAAACTAGGTTTCAGATAAGTTGTTTGCTAATATATTGACCACAAATTAGGAAGATTATCCTGGGTTACTTGGGTGAGCCCAATGTAATCACAAGGGCCCTTAAAAGTAAAAGAGGAAGGCAGAAGAGGAAAGTCAGATAGAGACGTGACTATGGAGGAATGATAACAGGGGTGCAAATTTGCTGGCATTAAAGACAGAATACTGAGGCCACTAGCCAAGGAATGTAGGCAGCCACTACAAGCTGGAAGAGGCAGGGAAATTCTTCCCTAGAGGCTACAGAAAGAAATACGGGCCTGCTCATACATTGATTTTAGTCAATGATAACTATGTCAGACTTCCAACCTGAAGAAATGTAAAATATTAAATTTGTGTTAAGACACTAAGTTTGTGGTAATTTATTGCAGCAGCAATAGAAAACTATTAGAAATGATTTGGATTCCAGACTTCCCTTTTTAAGTCTCTATGTCTGGTGGAGTAGGTCACAAGTTGGGAGGATAGGCCTATGAAAGGCAGTGGAGGCTGAGGAGACTAGTCAAAAAAGAGAAGTTGAACAGCCAAATTAGCAATGATCACTACATATTCTGAAAGGTGGTTACCCTGTGTCACCACAATCTTCCATAAACAAAAACTCCTCAGTAAAGCTACAAAAATAAATGTACTATCAGTATGTTTACATTGCTTATGGAAGCCAGCAAGGAGTAAAGTTTGGGAAAAGATTGAAGAAAATGAATCGGCAACTAAATCTATCATGATAATAGAGCAGAGAAACAAAGAAAACAAGGAAAAAAGAAGATTAGAAATTCATAAAGATCATAGAAAGGAATGATTAAGTTGGAATCAATGTGTATTGGAATCAACAAATTTATAAATTCAGAAGATCTGCTAAGCTTATGTAAATCTTTGAGAGCTATAAAAGTCAATCCTTTGAAAGAAGATTCTGGGAAGACAGTAGAGTAGGAAGAACCAGGAGTCTGTCTCCCCACATAGCTAACAATTGCACTGGCAGAGTCTTTCTGATGTAACTATTTTGGAACTTTGAAGTCTATGTAAGGCTTGAAACTCCCAGAGAAAGGCATGAACAGTAAATTATGGTTACATTTGGTCAATTTCAGCTTTGAGCACAGTAGCAGCTACTCATCCCATTCTCTGACAGCTGACAGTTGTACATAATTTCCTGAAGCAGCAAGAACACTGGAGCCAGGGTGGGCAAAAAAGACCCTGTCCTCCAAATGTCAGGGATCTGTGCACTAATCACCAACTGCTGCTTCTGATCACAGAGGGGCAAAGAGTCAGGTGGCCATTGTTGTTGCACCCCCTCCCATCATTGCAGGCCCCTCCCCCTCTGAAGTGACTTCCAGGGCATTTAAAAGGCTGGTGCCTTTTATCTCCCTCCCTTTCATTTCTCTCGTTTTCTTCTTTTGGGACACAAACATTGAAGACTAGCTCATCAAATGCAACTGCATACGCAGGGGAAATAAAAAAGGCAAAGTACATGCCAAGGGGAAGGCACAGGCTCAAAAAAGACCTAAGAAGATCTTAGGTCTACACATGAGGCTAGTCTTTGGCAGAGACAGCCTATAATTTTTTTAAAGCAAAAATTTTAAAAAATCCAAAATCTGGAGAAGGAAAAAAATCTGATTTTCAAAGTTATCATATTATTAAATTGAAATGTCAAGTTTTCATCAACAACAAGAAAAAATCACAAAGCATACAAAGAAAAAAAGTATATAAGCCAACAGAAACTGTCCTTGATGAAGATCTGATGGTGAATCTACTGGACAAATACTGTAAAACAACTATCTTATAGGTGCTCAAAGAACTAAATATAGACAGAGAAAGTCAAGAGAATGATTTATGAACAAAATGGAAATACTAATAAAGATATACAAAATGTAAAAAAGTTCTGAAAATGAAAAATACAATAAATAAAAATTCATTAGAGAAATTCAAAGACAAATTTAAGCAGGCAGAAGAAAAATATCAGTAAATTTGAGGATAAGATAATATAAATTATTAGGTCTGAGGAACAGAAAGAGAAAAGGTTGAAGATAAGTGCACAGAGCCTAAATGACATCTGGAACACCGTCAAGGGGAGCGACATACTCACTGTGGGTTTTCCAGGAGAAGGATGGAGAGAAAGAGACAGAGAGAAATTTGAAACAAAATAATAGCTGAAAACTTTCCAAATTCAATAACATACATAAATATAAACATCCAAGAGGCAGGAGGATTAATTTTAAAACATTCACACATTATAATCAACCTCGCAAAAGCCAAATACGAAAATAATTTTTTTTTATTGTACTTTTAAGTTTTAGGGTACATGTGCACAATGTGCAGGTTGGTTACATATGTATACATGAGCCATGTTGGTGTGCTGCACCCATTAACTCGTCATTTAACATTAGGTATATTTCCTAATGCTATCCCTTCCCCCTCCCCCCACCCCACAACAGGCCTGGTGTGTGATGTTCCCCTTCCTGTGTCCATGTGTTCTCATTGTTCAATTCCCACCTATGAGTGAGAACACGTGGTGTTTGTTTTTTTGTCCTTGTGATAGTTTTCTGAGAATGATGGTTTCCAGCTTCATCCATGTCCCTATGAAGGACACGAACTCGTCATTTTTTATGGCTGCATAGTATTCCATGGTGTATATGTGCCACATTTACTTAATCCAGTCTATCATTGTTGGACATTTGGGTTGGTTCCAAGTCTTTGCTATTGTGAATAGTGACGCAGTAAACATACTTGTGCATGTGTCTTCATAGCAGCATGTTTTATAATCCTCTGGGTATATACCCAGTAATGGGATGGCTGGGTCAAATGGTATTTCTAGTTCTAGATTCCTGAGGAATCACCACACTGACTTCCACAATGGTTGAACTAGTTTACAGTCCCACCAACAGTGTAAAAGTGTTCCTATTTCTCCATATCCTCTCCAGCACCTGTTGTTTCCTGACTTTTTAATGATCGCCATTCTAACTGGTGGGAGATGGTATCTCATTGTGCTTTTGATTTGCATTACTCTGATGATCAGTGATGATGAGCATTTTTTCATGTGTCTTTTGGCTGCATAAATGTCTTCTTCTGACAAGTGTCTGTTCATATCCTTTGCCCACTTTTTGATGGGGTTGTTTTTTTCTTGTAAATTTGTTTGAGTTCATTGTAGATTCTGGATATTACCCCTTTGTCAGATGAGTAGATTGCAAAAATTTTCTGCCATTCTGTAGGTTGCCTGTTCACTCTGATGGTAGTTTCTTTTGCTGTGCAGAAGCTCTTTAGTTTAATTAGAACCCATTTGTCTATTTTGTCTTTTGTTGCCATTGCTTTTGGTGTTTAGACATGAAGTCCTTGCCCATGCCTATGTCCTCAATGGCATTGCCTAGGTTTCTTCTAGGGTTTTTATGGTTTTAGGTCTAACATTTAAGTCTTGAATCCATCTTGAATTAATTTTTGTATAAGGTATAAGGAAGGGATCCAGTTTCAGCTTTCTACATATGGCTAGCCAGTTTTCCCAGCACCATTTATTAAATAGGGAATCCTTTCCCTATTGCTTGTTTTTGTCAGGTTTGTCAAAGATCAGATACTTGTAGATATGCAGCATTATTTCTGAGGGCTCTGTTCTGTTCCATTGGTCTATAACCCTGTTTTGGTACCAGTACCACGCTGTTTTGGTTACTGTAGCCTTGTAGTATAGTTTGAAGTCAGGTAGCGTGATGCCTATAGCTTTGTTCTTTTGGTTTAGGATTGACTTGGCAATGTGGGCTCTTTTTTGGTTCCATATGAACTTTAAAGTAGTTTTTTCCAATTCTGTGAAGAAAGTCATTGGTAGCTTGATGGGGATGGCACTGAATCTATAAATTACCTTGGGCAGTATGGCCATTTTCACGATGTTGATTCTTCCTACCCATGAGCATGGAATGTTCTTCCATTTATTTGTATCCTCTTTTATTTCATTGAGCAGTGGTTTGTAGTTCTCCTTGAAGAGGTCCTTCACATCCCTTGTAAGTTGGATTCCTAGGTATTTTATTCCCTTTGAAGCAATTGTGAATGGGAGTTCACTCATGATCGGCTCTCTGTTTGTCTGTTATTGGTGTATAAGATTGCTTGTGATTTTTGCACATTGATTCTGTATCCTGAGACTTTGCTGAAGTTGCCTATCAGCTTAAGGAGACTTTGGGCTGAGACGATGGAGTTTTCTAGATATACAATCATGTCATCCACAAACAAGGAGAATTTGACTTCCTCTTTTCCTAATTGAATACCCTTTATTTCCTTCTCCTGCCTGATTGTCCTGGCCAGAACTTCCAACACTATATTGAATAGGAGTGGTGAGAGAGGGCATCCCTGTCTTGTGCCAGTTTTCAAAGGGAATGCTTCCAGCTTTTGCCCATTCAGTATGATATTGGCTGTGCATTTCTCATAGATAGCTCTTATTATTTTGAGATACGTCCCATCAATACCTAATTTATAGAGAGTTTTTAGAATGAAGGATTGTTGAATTTTGTCAAAGGCCTTTTCTACATCTATTGAGATAATCATGTGGTTTTTGTCGTTGGTTCTGTTTATATGCTGGATTACATTTATTGATTTGTGTATGTTGAACCAGCCTTGCATCCCAGGGATGAAGCCCACTTGATCATGGTGGATAAGCTTTTTGATGTGCTGCTGGATTTGGTTTGCCAGTATTTTATTGAGGATTTTTGCATCAATGTTCATCAGGGATATTGGTCTAAAATTCTCTTTTATTTGTTGTGTCTCTGCTAGGCTTTGGTATCAGGATGATGCTAGCCTCACAAAATGAGTTAGGGAGGATTCCCTCTTTTTCTATTGATTGGAATAGTTTCAGAAGGAATGTTACCAGCTCCTCCTTGTACCTCTGGTAGAATTCGGCTGTGAATCCGTCTGGTCCTGGACTTTTTTTGGTTGGTAAGCTATTATTTATTGCCTCAATTTCAGAGCCTGTTATTGGTGTATTCAGAGATTCAACTTCTTCCTGATTTAGTCTTGGGAGGGTGTATGTGTCGAGGAATTTATCCATTTCTTCTAGATTTTCTAGTTTATTTGTGTAGAGGTATTTATAGTATTCTCTGATGGTAGTTTGTATTTCTGTGGGATCGGTGGTGATATCCCCTTTATCATTTTTTATTGTGTCTATTTGATTCTACTCTCTTTTCTTCTTTATTAGTCTTGCTAGTGGTCTATCAATTTTGTTGATCTTCTCAAAAAACCAGCTCCTGGATTCATTGATTTTTTGAAGGGATTTTGTGTCTCTGTTTCCTCCAGTTCTGCTCTGATCTTAGTTATTTCTTGCCTTCTGCTGGCTTTTGAATGTGTTTGCCCTTGCTTCTCTAGTTCTTTTAATTGTGATGTTAGGGTGTCAATTTTAGATCTTTCCTGCTTTCTCTTGTGGGCATTTAGTGCTATAAATTTCCCTCTACACACTGCTTTGAATGTGTCCCAGAGATTCGGATATGTTGTGCCTTTGTTTTCTTTGGTTTCAAAGAACATCTTTATTTCTGCCTGCATTTCATTATGTACCCAGTAGTCATTCAGGAGCAGGTTGTTCAGTTTCCATGTAGTTGAGCAGTTTTGAGTGAGTTTCTTAATCCTGAGTTCTAGTTTGATTGTACTGTAGTCTGAGAGGCAGTTTGTTATAATTTCTGTTCTTTTACATTGGCTGAGGTGTGCTTTACTTCGAACTATGTGGTCAATTTTGAAATAGGTGTGTTGTGGTGCTGAAAAGAATGTATATTCTGTTGATTTGGGATGGAGAGTTCTGTAGATGTACATTAGGTCTGCTTGGTGCAGAGCTGAGTTCAATTCCTGGATATCCTTGTTAACTTTCTGTCTTGTTGATCTGTCTAATGTTGACAATGGGGTGTTAAAGTCTCCTATTATTATTGTGTGGGAGTCTAAGTCTCTTTCTAGGTCTCTAAGGACTTGCTTTATGAATCTGGGTGCTCCTGTATTGGGTGCATATGTATTTACGACAGTTAGGTCTTCTTGTTGAATTGATCCCTTTACCATTATGTACTGGCCTTCTTTGTCTCTTTTGATCTTTGTTGGTTTAAAGTCTGTTTTATCAGAGATTAGGATTGCAACACCTGCCTTTTTTTTTGTTTTCCATTTGCTTGGTAGATCTTCCTCCATCCCTTTATTTTGAGCCTATGTGTGTCTCTGAGTGTAAGATGGGTTTCCTGAATACAGCACACTGATGGGTCTTGACTCTTTATCCAGTTTGCCAGTCTGTGTCTTTTAATTGGAGCATTTAGCCCATTTACATTTAAGGTTAATATTGTTATGTGTGAATTTGATCCTGTCATTAGGACGTTAGCTGGTTATTTTGCTCGTTAGTTGCGGTTTCTTCCTAGCCTCGATGGTCTTTACAATTTGGCGTGTTTTTGCCGTGGCTGGTACCAGTTGTTCCTTTCCATGTTTAGTGCTTCCTTCAGGAGCTCCTTTAGGGCAGGCCTCGTGGTGACAAAATCTCTCAGCATTTGCTTGTCTGTAAAGGATTTTATTTCTCATTCACTGATGAAGCTTAGTTTGGCTGGATATGAAATTGTGTGTTAAAAATTCTTCTCTTTAAGAATGTTGAATATTGGTCCCCACTCTCTTCTGGCTTGTAGAGTTTCTGCTGAGAGATCAGCTGTTAGTCTAATGGGCTTCCCTTTGTGGGTAACCCGACCTTTCTCTCTAGCTGTCCTTAACATTTTTTCCTTCATTTCAACTTTGGTGAATCTGACAATTATGTGTCTTGGAGTTGCTCTTCTCTAGGAGTATCTTTGTGGCATTCTCTGTACTTCCTGAATTTGAATGTTGGCCTGCCTTCCTAGATTGGGGAAGTTCTCCTGGATAATATCCTGCAGTGTTTTCCATCTTGGTTCCATTCTTCCCATCACTTTCAGGTATGCCAATCAGATGTAGATTTGGTCTTTTCACATAGTCCCATACTTCTTGGAGGCTTTGTTCATTTCTTTTTATTCTCGTTTCTCTAAACTTCTCTTCTCACTTCATTTCATTCATTTGACCATCCATCACTGATACCCTTTATTCCTGTTGATCGTATCGGTTACTGAGGCTTGTGCATTCATCCCGTAGTTTCCGTGCCATGGTTTTCAGCTCCATCAGGTCCTTTAAGGACTTCTCTGCATTGGTTATTCTAGTTAGCCATTCATCTAATTTTTTTTTCAAGGTTTTTAACTTCTTTGCCATCAGTTCTAACTTCCTCCTTTAGCTCGGAGTAGTTTGATCATCTGAAGCCTTCTTCTCTCAATGCGTCAAAGTCATTCTCCATCCAGCTTTGTTCCGTTGCTGGTCAGGAGCTGTGTTCCTTTGGAGGAGGGGAGGCACTCTGATTTTTAGAGTTTCCAGTTTTTCTGCTCTGTTTTTTCCCCATCTTTGTGGTTTTATCTACCTTTGGTTTTTGATGATGGTGATGTACAGATGTGGTTTTGGTGTGGATGTCCTTTCTGTTTGTTAGTTTTCCTTCTAACAGTCAGGACCCTCAGCTGCAGGTCTGTTGGAGTTTGCTGGAGGTCCACTCCAGACCCTGTTTGCCTGGATATGAGCAGCAGAGGCTGCAGAACAGTGAATATTGGTGAACAGCAAATGTTGCTGCCTGATAGTTCCTCTGGAAGTTTTGTCTCAGAGGAGTACCCGGCTGTGTGAGGTGTTCATCTGACTCTACTGGGGGGTGCCTCCCAGTTAGGCTTCTCGGGGGTCAGGGACCCACTTGAGGAGGCAGTCTGTCTGTTCTCAGATCTCCAGCTGCCTGCTGAGAGAACCACCACTCTCTTCAAAGCTGTCAGACAGGGAGATTTAAGCCTGCAGAGGTTTCTGCTGCCTTTTGTTTGGCTATGCCTTGCCCCCTGAGGTGGAGTCTACAGAGGCAGGCAGGTCTCCTTGAGCTGAGGTGGGCTCCACCCAGTTCGAGCTTCCTGGCCGCTTTGTTTACCTACTCAAGCCTCAGCAATGGCGGGCGCCCCTCCCCCAGCCTCACTGCCACCTTGCAGTTTGATCTCAGACTGCTGTGCTGTCAGTGAGTGATGCTCCACGGGTGTAAGACCCTCTGAGCCAGGTGCAGGATATAATCTCCTGGTGTGCACAGGAGACCATTTGAAAAGTTGGAAATGTGCAGTATTAGGGTGGGAATGACCCGATTTTCCAGGTGCCGTCTGTCACCGCTTTCTTTCACTAGGAAAGGGAATTCCCTGACCCCTTGCACTTCCTGGGTGAGGCAATGCCTTGCCCTGCTTTGGCTCAGGCTCAGCGCACTGCACCCACTGTCCTGCACCCATTGTCCGACACTCCCCAGTGAGATGAACCCAGTACCTCAGTTGGAAATGCAGAAGTCACCCGTCTTCTTCATCGCTCATGCTGGGAGCTGTAGACTAGAGCTGTTCCTATTCGGCCATCTTGGCTCCTCCCCTGAAAAGCAAATTTTGAAAGCAGCATGAGAGGTGACTTGTTACATACAAGGGATCCTTAATTAGATTGTCAGCAATTTTCTCATCAGAAATATTGGAGGCAAATATATTGAAAGTGCAGAAAGAAAAAAACTCTCAAACAAAAATCCCATATGCAGCAAAAATATTCTTCAAAAGTGAAGGAGAAATTAAGATATTCCTAGATAAGAAAAGGCAGAGAGAATTTATTACCACTAAACCTCCACTGCAAGAAATGCTAAAAGAAGTCCTGCAGATTGAAATGAAAGGACAGTAGACAGTAACTCAAAGCCGTATGAAGAAATAAATTTCTCAGTAAAGGTAAATACATGTTATATAACTCCTTTTTTGTTTTATACATGATTGAAGAGACTAATACATGTAAATAATAATAATAATCTCAAAGCTAGTATTATTTTAATTTTGGTCTGTAACTACACCTTTTGTTTTCTACATACTTTAAGAAACTAAGTCAGTTAGTTCTCCATATCCGTGGGTTCTGCATCTGTGGATTCCCCCAATTGTGGATCAAAAACATTTGGAAAAAAGGATGGTTATGTCTATACTGAATATAATGGACTATTTTTTTCTTTGCATTACTCCCTAAACAATACAGTGTAGTAAATATTTACATAGCATTTGCATTGCATTAGGCATTATAAGTAACCTAGAGATGATTTAAAGTATATAGAAAGACATGATTTGGTTATATACAAATACTAATAGTTTTATATAAGAGACTTGAGCGTTGATAGATTTTGGTGTCTGTGAGGGGTTCTGAATCAATCCCCCACAGATACTGAGGGATAATTGTTCATTAAAAAATACATTAATTTATATTTTTGGACATACAATGAATAAAGTTATATTTTGTGACATAAGGATTAGGGATAGAGTGGCAAAGGACAATAATTTTTGTATATTATTAAAGTTATTCTGGTATAAATTCAAATTAGAGTGCTATAACTTTAGGATGATAAATGTAATAATTTCCACTGGAACCACAAAGATAATAGCTAATGAATATACACAAAAGAAAGTGAGAAAGAAATTTAAATTTTATTGCAAAAAAATCAACTAAACACAAAAGAAGACAGTAAGACTGTAAGACAGCAAGAAATCAGGGACCCAAAACCATAAGGCATTTAGAAACCAAATTACAAAATGGCAGAAGTAAGTCCTTCCTTATCGGCAGTTACTTCTTATAAATGCACCAAACTCTCCAAAATACAGAAATTGGCAGAGTGGGTTAAAAAAAAAAAAAAAAACCACCAGCAACAAAATCATGATCCAACTTCATGCAATCTATAGGAGACTCACTTTAGATTCAAAGACAAAATAGGTTGAAAGTAAAAAGATGGAAAAGATATGGCATAAAAATAGTAACTAAATGAAAGCAAGGATGTTTATACTAATATACAAAATAGGCTTTAAATCAAAAAAGCATAAAAGAGACAGAAATATATATTAAAAGCTTTAATAGAGCAAGATTATATAATAATTATAAACATCCATGTATCTAAAAACAGACCATGAAATACATGGAGCAAAAATTCACAAAACTGAAGAGAGAAATAGGGTTATAATAATTGCTGAAAACTTCAGTGCCTCCACCCATGATAACGGATAGAAAAACCAGACAGAAGATAAGTTAGAAAATACAGTACTTGAACAGAACAATAACCAGCTAGATCTAACAGACATTCAGAACACTCTATCCACCAACAACAAAAATTATTCTCAAATGGATGTTGCCTGTTTTGTAGGATAGATTATATGCTAAGCCACAAATTAAGCCTCAATGGATTTAAAATAATAAATATTCAACAGAGGACCTTCTTTGGCCATGATGGAATAAAGTTAGAAATCAATAACAGAAGGAAAGCTAGAAAATTCACAAATTTGTGGAAATCAAACACCATATACTTAATCAATGTATCAACGAAGAATTTATAAGAGAAATTAGAAAATACTTAAGGTATGGGTGAAAATTGAAATACTACATACCAACACTTACAGGACATAATGAAAGCATGCTGGGGGAAATTTATAGCTATAAATGCTTATATTTAACAAGAAAAAAAAGGATCTCAAATCATCACTCCAATTTTACAGCATAAAGAACTAGAAAGAGAACAAACTAAGCCCAAAGCTAGCAAAAGAAAGGAAATAATGAAGATTGGAATAGAGATCAAAGAAATTTAGAATATAAAAATAATACCAGTCTTTCTCAAACTATTTCAAAAAGTTACAGAGAAACACTTCCCAACTCATTCTATGAAGTCTGATACGAAAGCCAGACAAAGACACTGTAAGTACAGAAAAGTACAGACCACTATTCTATATGAACATTTATGAAAAATCATCAACCAAATATTTGTAAACTGAATTCTGCAACATATGAAAATGATTGTACACCATGGCCAAGTGGGATTTATTTCAGGAATGTAAGAACTGATCAATGTTATACACCACATTAACAAAATAAAGGAAAATAACCACATATGGTCATCTCAAATAATGTAGAAAAAGCATTAGACAAAATTTGGTACTCTTTCATGATAGAAATACCCAATAAACTAAAAATAGAAGAAAACAACCTCAACATAATAAAAGCCATAAAAATGCACAGAGAAGATTACACTTAATGATAAAAGATTGATTTTTTTCCCTCTAAGATCAAGAATAAGGAAACAATGACTATTTCTACCATTTCTATTCAACACAATACTGAAAATCCCTGTCAGAGCTATTAGGCAAGAAAAATGAACATCATCCAACATGGAAAGGAAAAGGTAAAATAAACTGTTCACAGATATAATCTGATATGTAGAAAGTGCTAAAATTCCACACAAAAACTGTTGGAACTATAAATGATCTCAGCAAAGTAGCAGGATACAAAGTCAACACAGAAAAAATCAGTTGCATTTCTGTACATTAACAATGAATAACCCCAAATGAATTTTTTTTAAAAAACCCATTTTCAATAGCCATAAACAGAATAAATAATTAACTGAACCAATGGGATGGAAGACTTGTGCAACGAAAACTATAAAAGATATCTGAAAGAAGTTGAAGAAAATATAAGTAAATAGATCCCAAATTCATGGATTGAAAGATTTAATATGCTAAGATGTCAGTACTATACAAATCAATCTACAAGATTAATGCAATTCCTATCTAAACCCCCAAAACTTTTCCTTTCAGATAGAAAGAAAAACCCATTTTAAAATTCATATGGAATCTTAAGAGACTCCAAATAGCCAAAATAATCCTTAAAAACAAGTACAAAGCTGGAGAATTCACATTTGCTGATTTTAAAAATTACTACATCGCTTTAATCAAAACCGTTTTGGCTGGGCGCAGTGGCTCACACCTGTAATCCCAGCACTTTGGGAGGCTGAGGTGGGCGGATCACTTGAGGTCAGGAATTCGAGACCAGCCTGGGCAACATGGCGAAAACCCGTCTCTACTAAAAGTACAAAAATTAGCCTGGCGTGGTAGCCCACACCTATAATCCTGGCTACTCGGTGGGTGGAGGCAGGAGAATTGCTTGAACCCAGGGGGCAGAGGTTGCAGTGAGCCCAGAATGTGCCACTGCACTCCAGCCTGGGCGACAGAGCGAGACTCCATCTCAAACAAACAAAAAATTAAATTAAAATTTAAAAAATGAAATAAAACAGTGCAGTATTGGCATAAATGATAGAGTTCAGAAATAAACCCTAACATTTATGGTCAAATTATTTTCAAGAAGAGTACCAAGATCATTCAATAGAGAAAAGACAGTCTTTTGAAAAAATAGTTCTGATAACACTACATATCCACAGGCAAAACAATGAGGTCGGACCCTTAAATCACACTATATACAAAAATTAATTGAAAATGAATTCATGATCTAAACATAAGACCTGGAACTACATCTTTTGGAAGAAAGTATAGGACAAAAAGTTCACAACATTAGATTTGGGAATGACTTCCTGAATATGGCAACGAAGGCATAAGGAACAACAATAACAAATAATAAGTAAATTGGACTTTATGAAAATTTTATAATTTTAGGTACCAAAGACACTGCCAAAAGTGTAAAAAGACAACTCACAGAATGGAAAAAAAGTTGCAAATCATATATCTAGTATGGTATTAATATTCAGAATACATAGAGAATTCCTAAAACTTGACAATAAAGTACAACTCAATTTGAAAATGGGCAAAAGAACTTAATAGATATTTCTCTAAAGAAGGTACACAAATAGGCAATAAACATATGAAAATAGGCTCAATATCATTAATAATTGGGGAAATCCAAGTCAAAACTACAATGAGATACTATCTCACAACCATTACAATGATTACTATAGAATAAAACAAAAAATTTAAAAAATGGTGAGGATATGGAGAAATTGGAACCATAGTGCACTGTTGATGGTCATGTAAAATGATACAGATGCCTTGCAAAACAGTATAGCAGCCCCTCAAGAAAGTAAAACTAAAATAATCATATAATACATCAAGTTACTTCTGGGTCTTGAAAAGATATCTGTAGACCCATGATAATAACAGCATTATTCACTATAGCTAAAACGGAAGAAATCCAAGTATCCATTGACTTATGAATGAATAAGCAAAAAGTTTTATGTACATAAAATGGAATATTATTCAGCCTTAAAAAAGGAATTGTGACACTTGCTACAACATAGATGGTCTTTGAGGACATAATGCTAAGTAAAATAAGCCAGATACAAAAAGACAAACACTATTATTCCACTTATATGAGCTACCTAGTGTGGTTACACTCATAGAGACAGAAAGTAGATTAATGGTGTTAGGGGCTGGGAAATGGGAGAAAGGAGGAGTTACTGTTTAATTGGTACAGTTTCAGTGTTGCAAGATTAAAGGAGTTCTTAATACGGATGGTGGTGATGGTTGCACATCACTTTGAATGTACTGAGTGCCAATGAGCTGTACACTTAAAAATGGTTACGATAAATATTTTGTGTTATGTGTATTTTACTCTAATAAAAAATGGAAAAAAGTGATACATGAGGAATAGATTACAGAAGTCTCTATCTCTATTATAACATTTATTGTTGCAATAGTAAATCCTGTCCCAGAAAAACGTACTAATTCATCTATTTATGAGTTTGCTCCTCAAGTAGTCCTTGAACTCAAAAGACACGCACGGTGTTCACTCTTTCTTGGCATCCAAAATATCCACCATGGGGTTGACATTCAGAAGGTATTCAATGACTATTTTTTGAAACTGTTGACTATATGCTTATATTCCACTGGAGCTAGAGAGGTAGGACACCATCTTCACTAACATAAAGCCTACTTGTATTTGGTCTAAATTAAGAATCATTTATTTAAAGAATGAGGTATTAATTGCAAGTCATTCATTATTAGTGTCTGTGACTGATACCAAGTAGAAGACAAACAGCAGGAATTGATAAGTGTGTGTAGCAGGGGTGGATGTGTTGTCTCTAGATTTAAGTTTTAAAACAATGAAGGAGAAAGAGTAGAAAAAGAAGGATAAGGAGAAGAAGAAAGAGGAGGAAGAAAGAAGAAAGAGGAGGAGAAAAGAAGGAAAACAAAGAGGAGAGGGAGGAAGAATAAGAAGTAAGGTAGGGAGGGGAAAAGAAAGAAGGAAGGGATGGAGAAAAGAAAGAGAGGGGAAAAGAGAGGGAGAGAAGGCACGAGGAAATGAAGGAGTGGGAGAGATGGAGAAAGTTAGAAAGAACACGAACACAAAAGGCTTTCTCAGCTGGAGAAACTAGAAAAGATTAGTATCAGGCATGTCTTCTGCACTGTAAGAACGCTTAGGCAATAGAATATGCCTGAGGGTCTGGTTTAGGAATCTAAGCATCAAGCCTACTTGTGCAGTTCTCAGGAAACCACACACCCAATTCCTAGTAGAGTTGAGTCATGGCTTTATCCTTCTGTCTATTCAGAAATAGATACTTTCAGTTTGTAGTATAGGATTACCTTCTTCAACCACAGTATTAAAAGCCAAAGTCATGGATGCTCCAAAGAGCCCTTAAGCATCCCTTTCTTAACTTTGTTTCCTTCCAAAGGAAGACTGTAAGAATGTGTCTGTGTGTCAGAATTTTGCTCACTTACTGCCCATTTATCAGAGAAATTGCAAGCACATTTGGTGGAAGGATGGAGAGAACATCCTTGGTGGTGGGATTATGCATGATCTCATACCCACCTAAATTACTTTTCTGAAGATCACAGATTATTGCAGATAGGGGAGAAAATAAATAAGCAATTGGTGTTATGGAAGGATGGAACCCATAAACCTCCAGTACTTTGTAATTCTGAGAAAAGTTGAGAGATTATTAAGTAGTAACAAATAGGTAAAAGATTACTGAATTTTTAGTGATTACCCTAATGAGCACTTCTTCCTTGCTCTCTTATATGATAATATGCCAAGAAATGTGTGACTAATTCTTGAATTAAAAGCATTATTTAATATGGTTTCAAGATCCCTGAAATCAGTAAAATGACCGTAGGTTCCTTTGAAAAAAAGTAAAAAGGCATCATTGCATTATTAATATTGAGCAAAATAGAAAACTTCTCATAAGCATTTGTGGTTGAGGAAGTGAGCAAATCTTGTTTCAGTCAAGAAAGTTTATATAATCCTAAGCAGTCTAATCTAATAAACATTGCATTAAGAATTTGAATTTTATTATCAAGGCCAACAGTCTTCATATAGGGTGCAAAGCAACCCACTGAGATGCAGAAAGAAATTATTAGACTTTCTGTTTATAATGCTAAGCTAAAATGTAAAGAAAATAAGCTTTAATTATATCACTATATAAATTGTCACCAGACTCATTATTTGGGTCATATGGAAAATGGTCCTAAGTGTCATCTGGCATGCAGGTGTTCCGAGTGAAGGCTATGAGGGCCCAAAGCAAGGGTTGAGCACTCTACTCTTTCTTGTTTGCACATTTTCAGCACATTACAACATGCTGCAGTTTCTGTGGACCAGGTTGAGTGGATTTGTGTATTAAATTATCTAGTTTTAATTAAACTATCATAAAGTGGACAAGTGGTTTAAAAAGATTTTTTTCTAAGAGCTGCAGGCTGAAGATAATACTAAAAATGCAAATACAAGTGAGCAACTCAAAAATGGCAAAGCTGACACTCTTTCTTCACCTTGTAGTAGCTTTTCATCAGCCACATGATGAAGAAAAACATAACGACAATGTAATCAGTTTTGACAAGGCATCAGCTAAAATGCTCGACATCATCAAGAAGGTCCTCTAAAATGTCTACATTTATTATTAAGAATGAACTTTGTTCTAAGTGTGTATTTTGTTATAAGCTATCGGCTAATAACAGTATAGATTCATTATGATTAGTAAGACATACTAAAATACTATTTTCATACTATTCCCATGCTTTTATATGACACATTATGCAATATACCAATATGCTAATTATAGTTTAAGATTGTGACTCATGGGCATGCTTCATAGATATTCATATAAAATATAAATGTAACATTTGAGGGATTCATATCCAATAATGTTTAGTGATGGAATGCTTGAAAACAAAATTGGAAACTAATGTTTAAAAAGAGTTTTCAAATAGAATAATCACCTGAAATCTAGTTTTAGAAAGGCTAAGAGATTATGTTATAGAAGGTAGATTTGAGGAAAGAATCCAGAGTTACCATCTAGTATGATATTTTGATGTTGAAGACAAGAGTCAAATAGATCTCAGAAAAACCAGGTAGTCTTTAGTTTCTGCAGAGCAAAATAGTCCTGAGTAGACATATTTTTCCACAGGGAATATTTTTTAAAGAAATATTATAACTCAGAGGAAAAACCATAACAACAAGGTAAAGAAAACAAGAACAAGGGGAGGAAAAAAGCCTGCTACCAGGAAGATAGGCCACCTCTCCTTTGGCTGTTCAGAGCTAAAAGCTAGGAGGGAAAAAATAAAATTTGTCTCTTCCCTAGTAAAATAATTAAATCAGTATGACAAATATTTTATTTTCTCCTTTCTTCAAAGGATCCTGTAATTTAAATTGGAAAGGATGTACAAGGCCAGCCCTTTGTTTTTCTAAAAATACACTGAGCGAAGAAATCACCTGAGAATCTAGTGAAAATGCAGATTCTGATTCAGCAAATCAAACAGTCTCCTAGGTGAAGTTGTTGCTTGTGGTTGGCTGGTTCCAATTAGAGTAGCAAGTCTTCAGAGCAGGAATCTCAGAACTTACGTGAACTTCAATTACGCTTAATGAAAAATGTGAGAGAATACACCTCTGATATATGTAAGTTTATTAAGGTATAAAGTGATATATTTGCTGTCACTTGCTACCAATATTATGGATGTTACAAAATTTAACAAAAAATTAAAAAATTGTAAATAATTCCATTAAAAATAAATATGAATAGAAGTTCTATCTACTTCGTAGACTCCCATACAGAAGATCATATTTTGTAACCTGGGAGCATGTACTCCATTCTGGAGGCGACATGGCTAGAGGACGAATATTCGTTCTTGATTCTTTTGTCTGAAATTTGGGTGTTCACTCCACGTGAAAAATAGTACCTTAAGGTTTGGTTACATAAACCAGTGTTAAAGCTTTGAAAAGGGGCATTAATTGAGTCTAGTGTATATTTCTGATATGTAATTTCTGTACATTTAATGATTGTTGAAATAGCATGATTATTTGTCACTAATTATTAATCCTTGAAAAACAGGTATAAGTAAAAAATAAATAGCAATTTTTCAAGTAAATGCAGGTAACCTAGAAGAAATCAAGTGCTTTTCTAGTTAAGCTGAATTGAAGTAATACAATTTTCTACATACTCAAACACTTGTATATTCTTTTGGCTATCTTTCACTTACATGCTGGACGATTAGTTTGTCTGCATGATAAACAATAGCTGTAAACCATGTGCAAGGTATCCATTAAAGATTTATTCACCTTCCCAACCTTCCAAAATGGCTCATAAGAGAAGTGGAGAAAATAAGCCTCTTTTGTGGGATAATTAGAAAACTATATTGTTTTCTATAAAGTTTTCTTGATAAGTATTTCTCTGCTAACAATTTACCAAATTTACTGAATTAGTACAAAATCTAAGCTAGTTCTCAAAATCTAGTGTGCATAAGAACTTCCTGTGGAATTTGTTTAAAATACAGACTCTCAGGTCTTATGGAGAGCCTTTTTCATTAATATGAATAAAGTTAAAAGAAAATTAGCTTAAAAACAGACTCATAAATGTATAAAAATATATGTATATAATAGAAAAACATTTTTAATAGGGAAATGATAGCGTATTCAATAAATGGTATTAGAAAAAAAATGGTTTTCCATGTGTAAAAATTAAAAGGGGTTACTTTGGTCCAGCAGGAAATAAATGGCACATGCATATTAGAATACTTTGAAGAAGGTTTAATAAAAGGGCTGTTTATAGAGGTGAAGGCAGGGTATATACTACACTCAAACCACAAAGGTTGTCATATACCAGGACTAGAAACAGTAGAACTTTTACTACTCATGGACTGAAGGAAGACAAGGGTGAGCAAGGTTACCAGAATTGAAAGTAGAGCTGTTGTGTAGGGAGGGTGACTGACATTCACTCTCCCTTTTAACCAAGAGATACAACTAGCCACAGGCAACACTTCAAGAAGATACCCCAATATTACTTCCCTCTCTCCTTCCAATTTCCTTCAGTTCCTTACTGTCTGAAGCAAACCAGAAGACAGATATCACGTACTATCTTTGTTGAACACCATAAAGATGAATATTTCTGGTCAGAGAGTAGGGTGCAGAAAGGAGAACTGGTAGAGAGGGGCAAATATAAGATATCCAACAAAGTTTGCTAATGCATACAATACATAAAATCCATTCCAGGTGCACTAAATTCTTAATTGTAATATTTCTAAAATGTAATTCTTATTGGTATATACTTATATAAATTAGTATACCTATTTTTAAGAGAATTTTGTTGCTGCCATTCAGGGACAAATTTCTCACCACAGGTTAAAATAAAATCACTGTTCTGTAGCTCAAGTTCTTACCAAGATGTTAAACTAGCAAAAGTTCTAGCTCTCTCCCTCCAAAAACAACCCCAAAGAAAGTATAGGAGAACAATAAGATGAAATGGGAGAGTTCTCTGATCACCCTCACAGGACATTTGACAGCAGTGTGGCTCGTCTGTGTGGTTGCCACCGCTGCTCAAACCCCTTATGGGAGGGTAAGCACTCAGATGGACGGGCGCAGGAGCCCTAGTGGGCATGTGTTACAGTGTGCTCTTTTAGGCTTGTTGTCCATGGATTAAGTGTTAAGCTGGATAGCACTTAACACTACAAGGGCAGAGGGCCAGTATAACAGCTTTTTGCATCCTGAGCTCTTGTGCAGCATCCCAGAAGAATTGGGTCACACACGGACTTGAAGGATGGTGAATGCATGGTTTTATTGGGTAGTGGAGGTGGCTCTCAGTGGGATGGATGGGGAGCTGGACAGGGGATGGAGTGGGAAGATGATCTTCCCCTGGAGTTTGGCCATCCAGCGGCCAATTCTCCAACTGTCCCCAAAGTCCTCCTGACATTCCTTCTCTCCTTCTCTGCTGCACTCCTCTGCCATTTGCCTGCTCATCTCCTGTTTGTTGCCTAGTTGGCTTCTGGAGTCTGGGGTTTGGAGTTTGGAGTTTATATGGGTACAGGATAGGAGACATGGCAGGCCAAAAGGCAACTTTTGGGCACAAAAACAGGAATGCTTGTCCTCATTTAGGGCAGCAGGTATCCAAGCTTGAGGGTGGGGCCTTTGCCAGGGAACTGCCCACTTCTACCCAGTATTTCCCTCTCTCCTGTCTGTATCAAAAATACATCAAAAACCCCTAGGGTGCACAATTGTTTGTGTTGTGTAGTGGTTTTATTGGAGGATAAAGAACAAGACTTTTCTTGATTATCTTCAATCTTTGCTTTGTGATCAACTAATAGTTCTCAAAGTTTGGCCCCAGGCCAGTGGAATCCACATCACCTGGGAACTTGTGAGGAAACAAATTATTGGGTCCTATCCCAGATAAACTGAGCCAGAAACTGAAATAGGATAGAGCCCATAAATCTGTTTTAACAAGTTCTCCAGAAGATTCCAATACCCACTAATGCTTGAGAACCACTGGGATAAACAATGCCTGTATTTACACTAGCGTTTTCAGATTTAGCAAATCAAAATACAGTATAGCCAATTAAATTTGAATTTCAGATAACCAACAAAGTTTTCTTTAGTGTTAAGTGTGCTACTGAAATTCAAATTTAACTGGATGCCCTGCATTTTATTGGGCAACCCTAATCTATACCTGTAATTAGTCAAAACTCTGGTCCAGGTGTCTTCCAGAGTAAACTCAGGACAGCTCAGAAGCACAGTGGTTGTGCTGGGAAAACAGGTTGAGACTAATTAAGTACTACAGTACTGACAGCTGTCAATCATCAGTATCATCTGAGAGCTTGTAAAAAACGCAAATTCTCAGCCCCACCTCTGCATCACTAAATCAGAAACTCCGGGGATGTGGCCCAGGACTCTATGGTTTACCAAGACCTCCAGGTGACTCTTATGCACCCTGAAGTTTGAGAAGCACTGAACTAGCTAATCTCAGGCAATGAATCTGACCTCTTTCTCTTTTAAATACACAAGACTAAGCAGAGTCTCCTCCTAAGGCTGCTTCTTTCAGGAAAGCATAGAGTGAAGCTTTGACCGGAGGGATTATTTTATTGACATACCAGCATTCCTGTGGAATTGTGTTCATTAGAAGTGAGTAACTAAGAGCAGCCCACAGTCAAGGGGAAACAAATTAAGCTTCATCTCATGAAGAAAGAACACTAAGAATTTGAAGATACTGTTAAAAGAAAAACTTCAGCTGAATTAAATTTAAAGGAGTTTAATTGAGCAATGAACGATTCACTCATCTGGCAGCCCCCAGAATCACAGCAGATTCAGAGAGACTCCAGGGATGCCTCGTGGTCAGAACACATTTATGGACAAAAAAATGTAAATGACATACAGAAATCAGAAGTGAGGTGCAGAAACAACTGAATTGATTACAACTGAATTGGTTACAGGCAAATAAGGTGTTTGCCTTATTTGAAAACAGTTTGAACACTCAGCAGTGTAGGAGTGGTTGAAGTACGGCTTCTGGGATTGGCCAAGACTCAGCTATGGTTACAGGTGCATACTCCTAAGTTAGGTTTTCAATCCTGTCTCCCTATTAAGTTAGGTTGCAGTTCATCCACAAGGACTCACATATAGAATGAAGTCTTTCTTAGGCCATACTTAGTCTGATTTAACAATACATATTTTTAAATCACCACAGACACAAAATGTTGAAACTAAAAGCATAGAAAAAATTAATATCAATCAAATGCTATGATAACCAAAGGAAAGCTAGGATGACTATATTAATATGAAATAAAATTAAAACAAACACAAAGAAACACAATTTATTAGAGATTGATGGGATCACAAATAGAAAATAAAGGGTTCAACTCAGTAACCAAAATATAACAATTTAAAAGATGTAAACATTTAATAAAATTGCTTTAAAACACATAAAGCAAAAAAGCAATGGAACTACAAAAAGAAACATAAGTCCTCTACTTTAATAGGAAAATAAAAAACACCTCTTTTGATTGACAAGTCAATAAGACAGAAAGCTAATAAGGACATAGAAGATATGGAAAACACAATAGAAACTTTCAACTTAATGACTACATGTAGAGTTCTATACAACAATTGGAGAACATACTTATTTTCATTCACATATTCAAATATTGGTTATGTACAAAGCCATAAAGAAAGCCTCAATAAACTTCAAAGAATAGGTATTCTTCAGATCACAATCTCTGGTCAAAATATAATTAGGCTAAACTTTAATAACAAAAATATTTTCTAAGAACCTTCACAGTAATTTTAAAATCCATGGATGTGCAAGAAATTATGATAAAAATTTAAACATACTTATAATTAAATCATGATGAAAAATAATATCCTGTACTAACACCTATGAAAGTTAGCAAAAATTATGTACCATGGGATATTTACGGCCTTAAGTACGTACATAATAAAACAAGAAAAGTTAAAAATTAATGCGTAAATACCTATCCTAAGAAGTTAGCAATAGAAAATTATCATTATCATAATAAGCAGATTAATAAGAATAAAAATTAATAAAAATAGCATACACAAATACAATGGTAAAGATAAAACAATGAGTTGGTTCTTTGAAAAAATTAAAATAGATGCTTCTGGCAGAAATAATCTAGAGATACAGAAGACAAAACTAAATAACATTATTTTTAAAAACCCTGACGCTCATATATAGAGTATAAACTTAGAAGAAAATAAAATAATATGCCATCAATAATATTGTGATTTAATTAAAAACTTAAGTGACTGTGATAGTTAATTTTATGTCAAGTTGACTGGGCCATAAGGTGCCCAAATATTTGGTCAAACATTATCCTGTTTGTTTCTACAAGGATGTTTCTGGATGTGATTAACATTTAAATAAACAGACTGAATAAAGCAGATGGGTGGGCCTTATTCAATCAGTTGAAGGCCTAAATAGAATAAAAAGGCTGATGTCCCCAACCAAAAAGGAATTCCTCCTGCCTGATTGCTTCCAAAATGGAATATCAGCTTTTTCCTGCCTTTGGATTTGAACTGAAACATCAAGTCTTTCTAGCTCTCAGGCCTGCCAGCATTTAGACAGGACCTACACCATGGGCTCTCCTGGTTCTCAGGCCTTCAGATTTGGACTGTAACTACACCATCAGCCTTCCTGTGTCTCCAGATTTCTGTCTTTCTTTGCAAATCTTAGGACTTGCAAGCCTTCATAATTATCACACAAACATACACACACACCCTGTTGTTTCTCTTTTTATGGTGAACCCTAATTGAGTAATGTAGACAAATACTTAGGAAAAAATATAACATCAGGACTCAGTGAAAAAGAAATAAAAAGCTTCATTAGTCCTATAACTACTAAGAATTGTAGCAGTTAAAGAATCACTAAGCCAAGATAGTTTAAAATGAATTCTTATCAATCTTCCAAGGCAAAGAAAAGAAAAAAGTACAAACATTTACATCCACATCCAAATTGGTTCTATTCTGGATAGGCAAAGATAATTTTACTTTTAAATCTTTATAAATGAAGTTCATTGTGTTAACAAATTGAAAGAGAAACACCATATGATAATTTCAATAGAAATAAAAAAAATTAATAAATGTCAACACTTATTCAGAATAAAATATACTGCTAAATATAATTCTAAATGGAAAAAAATTAAGAATCATTCTTTTCGTAGTAGAGACTGAGACAAGAGGACCCATTATCACCACTTCTAATTAATATTTTAGTAGAAATACTAGCCGGTATAAGAATTAAGAAAAGAAAAGAAAAATAAGAAAATTATAAATTTTTGAATAGAAAAAAGTAAAACTGTCATCATTTGAAGATGATATGACTGTTTACATAGAATAGCTAAAATAATACAGGGAAATTATTTTAGAAATAATTGAAGAGTTTAGCAAAATGTCTACATTAATATATAAAAGCAGTTGCATTCCTGGACAGCAGACATAAACTGGAAAAGGCAATTGAAAAGAAGACACAATTTTTAGTAATATCAGGGAAAATCCCATATTAAGAAATAAAACAAAAAATTAAAACCTTTATAGAAAAAATATAGATTTATTAGACATAGCAAAGATGATATAAATAAGAGGAAAAGAAAACAACATACCAAGTTAAGACAGGAATATCACAGAGATGTTAAGTCTCTCAAAATTCATCCTTAGGTTCAATGTAATCCCCCTCAAACTGTAACAAGGGTTTTTTTTTTAACTTGATATTTCTAATATGTATTTAGTGGAGTAATGGGCCAAAAATAAGAGCCAGGATACTTTTAATAAGAGCAGAGAGGAGGAACTTGCCTTGCCAGGTATCAATACTCAGCATGAAGCTGCAGTAATAAAGATAGCATGGTGTTGGTATAACAAAGAGAAATTCACCTTGGAATCAGAAGCAGACCCACACATTTATGACACATTGGGGTATGATAGAGGGGTCATATCAGACAAGAGTATAAAAGGGAAACTTTTGATAAAAAGATGTGGTAAAAAGAGAATCACATAAAAAATAAATTTGTTTTCTAATCTCATAAAAGATTTAATAAAAATCAATTCCAGATGGATGTTAAAGGATATAAAGCTCTTAGCAGAAAATGTAGATGAATACAGTTTAGAAATTGAGGTAGGAAAACAATTCTTAAATAAATAAAACATCAATAAATTTGGTTATCTTTAAATCAGGATTTTTTTATTCATCACAAGAGTTCTTAAAAGAATATGGAAAAAATAGTTTCAAACTGGGAAGGATACCTGTATTACATAAAATGAAAAGACTAATATCAAGAATACATTTTAAAAACTCATAAAAAATAACTGGAAAAATACCAGCAAACCAATAAAAAAAAGAAGGGGTGGTATGGAGAGTGAGAATAGCCATCTTACAGAGAAGCAAACCTGTGATGAGACAGTCAGCATAATTAGTGATGAGAGAAATGCCATTAATGACCATGAACAGTTTATATGATTTAATCGACAAAAAATAAAAATCTGACAATATGAAGTATTGGAGAGAAGTGCATCGACTGAATGAAGACATTCAGATATACAAGATATATTGCTGGAGGGAGTATAAATTCGGTGAACTACTTTGGGAAATAGTTGGATATTCCCCTTTAGAGTCCCCATGTTTTGGCCTGGCAATTCTGTGGCTCGGAATATACCCAAGAGAAACTCTTGCATGTGAACACAGGAGACATGACCTGGAATATTTATAGCAGTACTGTTCACATTATTCGAAATTTGGAAACAGCCCAAATGCTCACCAGCAGGACAGTGGGTGGCTAAAATATGGTACATGCACACCATAAAATATCACAAGCAATGAGGATGAGTAACCACGGGGATGTGCAAAAAGAGGGATGAAATTTAGCAGTATAATATTAAGTAAAAAGCAATTCTGGAAGGATTATATGCAGTATGATACCCATTTTTATAAAATTAAATGTAAGTACAAATAATATATGTAATATATAATTTTAGCAATTCCTACATATAAAATAAATGTGTAAAAAGGAAAGCAGGAGAAGGATGAATATGGAATTCAAGATGATCACCTTCTCAGGTGAGGGTTGGCAGAGGGATGAGAAAAGATATCATCATTATCAAGATCCTAGTTTCTATTATAGTTGATAGATTCATGGATGGCTATAACATTATTAAAAGTAACTAAAGGAAGTCATGCGTGGATCAACAATGGAATGATTTTAATGGATACAATTTTGCTTATCTGAGGTCTAAAGGTGGCAGTGAATTCACTGTCTCCCACAGGATATTGGGATTGATTACAGAAGCTATGCTATGGCTACAGTGAAGAGATGGGTAGACACGTAGCCACAAGAACTGTTCTTTTTTGTGCATGAGGGAGGACTTTGTCCTCAGAAAGAAGGTGTTTCTTGTCCTTTGTTGTTACCTGGAACTGTTCTGCCTCTTTCTTTTGCTGCAGTAAGAAAGCTCTATATGGGACGGCAAATTCCACAGTCAGCTCTTATGACAAAGACTGGTCAGGATATGCTATGTCAGAGCCCTTTGATTTCAATTGATAGCACTGATGATTTCCACACAGCTCACTCCTACAGCCTACCCCTGCTGACTTTGTCTTAGGGAAACTACCCTTTTTGGAGCCCCTCTCTTATTGTTTCCATGTTGACATGCTCTTTTTTAAAAAAAAAAAATTATGTTCTCAATTACAGGAATTTGTAGCATCCATAGCATAGGTTCTTAAATGCCATGGTCTGCTGCTGGACAGCTTCCTACGTTCCTAATGCCTCTGTGAATCTGTGCTTTTATTTTTTCCTTTCTCTGTCACTTCACTGGGCTTTAAGCCATAAGGAGGTATAACATCATGTACTCTGTCAGCCATCTTAAACTGGAAGTTCTTGGAAATTCGTTTAGAATGAAGACAGGGAGCTGGGGCTGCTTTGGTCTCTTTGAAAACATAAAATGTTGATGATTTAGAAAGATGTGTTCTAGTGATTTGAGTCAGAATTCTTAAATTATTTATCAGACTCAGGCTGAGCTACTAGAACTGAACAAAACAAACAGAATAAGTCTAAAAGAAAATTGGGTTGCCAACAATTGAGCCTTTAGATAGAAAGTCTACAACCCTCAGCACAAGTGCTGTATTCCTCAGACTACAGCGACTTTCAGACATACTAAATATATGTACATGGCAAACACATTAAGAGCTGTTGAAATAACAAGCTGAACTTTAAATAATTTGTTAGGATGGCTTCTCTTGTTTTCTCCCATTGAAAATGGTCACTTATATTCTGCAGGAATGGTCTGAAATTTTAATTTAATTTTGTTTGCAAGACATTCTAACCTACTGATATGAGAGATACACTGAAGTGCATGCATTTTTTTGTTTGTTTTTTTCCATATGACCCCTTTAGGAAATCTTCAGTTAGAGCCATTAAAAAAAGTAGTTTTATTGGGTTACATAAATAATATGCACCAAAATTTCCAGGAAAATTGTAGAAAATAAAACAGTGAGAATCCCTGAGGTATAATACTACACTTTGTCTACTGAGACATCTAAGATTGATCTTCAGTGCTACCCAAGACCTCCCACGGATAAACTTGACCCTTTATTTTATTTTTTGCCCATTCACTCACCTTCTTTGGTTGTACCCTGGTTTTCCATCACATCTAAAATCCAGATACTAGCCTATCTATGAATTCCACAGTCTTGATTATAGCTTGCAATGATCTGACCTTGCCCTGCTGTCTCCCTGTCTTCATGGTTTAATCACATTGCCTTTGGTTTCTGAAACATGCCAAGATCCTTGCACTTGTGTTTTTCTTCTTTCTGCCTAGAGTATTCATACGCTTTCACCTCTCCTGACTAGCATCGATTCACTCTTTAATTCTCAGCTTAAATATCCCTTGTTCATGAAGATTTTTCTGACCTCCCTATATAAAATCCTAGCAGCTTGAAGCTTTTCCTTAGAGCAATGATCAATATTACAATTTTATACCTGTGTTATATTTCCCTTTGGTTCCTGTTTAATGTGTCTTCAGTATGGCATTAGGACAGGTATGATACATCTTTGTTCCCTGTATAAGTGCAATAAATGTACAATGGTTAAAACTTAGTAGGTTTCCAATACATATTTACTGAGCTCCACAAACTGAAGGTAGAGTTTTAGATAAATTAGGGCTAAAGTACACACTTGAGGAAAAACCAAGTCCAGATTCACTGTTACATATTGCACTTGTTAGAGCCGATCTTTCACCCCTGATGTGACCTAATTCACTCTTGATTCTAGGATGAAGTTTTACTTTTACTATCAAAAAATTGGAGGTCTTAATATATTCCCTGAATCTTTATCTTTAGGCAAGTCACAAAACTTTTCTGAGCCATGGTTCTTTCATTTGAATAGTGAAGGTCAGGTTAGTCAGGATGATTAAGTGAGACCATTTGAACACAGAGTTCAGTACTGATGCAAGAGCACACAGCCACACACAGATGCTAGCTCCTTTTCCTCACTATTATACTTGTGTGTGAGTTCAGACCAAGTTAGAGAGCACACAGCCAACATAAGACCACTCTCACTTCTGACACCAATTGTAACTTGAGCACGGTGGTTCCCAAAACTACCCTCAGATGTGATAATTTGCTAAAAGCACTCGCAGAATTCACTGCAAGCCATTACACTCATGGTTACATACGGTTTCACAGTGAAAGAATGCAGATTAAAATCAGCCAAGGGAGAGACACATACTGCAGAGTCCAGGAGGCATCCAAATGTGGAGTTTCCAGTCCTGACTGTGGAGTCAGGACAGTGTTAATTCTTCCTAGCCATAATGTGGGATAACATGCATAGAGTATTGTTGACCTATGCCACACCTGATACACACCTGAGCCACAGCAACCAGGGCCTTTAGTAGGGCCTCACAGCTTAGGCATGATTGATTGATTGATTGCCTACATAGTTGATCTTTATCTCCAGGTTGGCTGAGATTGTGTGTTCCAAAACTCCCCACCCTAAGTCACATTGCTACCATCTGGCTTGGCCTAAGGACCTCACCCTAAATCACATTGCTAGACAATCCAGTGTGACCCAAGGCCCCCAGACAATCAGACACACCTATTAGGCATGCTACTGCAATGAGTAGAGATTACCTTGTAATCTCTAAGGCAGAGGTCAGGCCTATTTTGGGGCAAGGTTAAATTAGTTATTACATAGATGGATACCACATGTTCACCTATTGGCTCCTTATACAAACTCCATTTTCATACCCATCTTCTTCATCAATTCAAAGTTCCATCTTCCCTGGAACATTAATTTCTTTTCATCTCCTCTCCTTGCTCTGTGACATAGAGTCATCTTCAAGCTGAATGTAAGTAAGCTGAATGCTTATTAATGTATTGGCCTTAATCTATTTAGACTGCTCTAACAAATACCATAAACCAGGTAGATTATAAACAATAGAAATTTATTTCTCACAGTTCTGGAGGCTGGGAAGTGTAAGATCAAGGTGCCAGAAGATTCAGTGTGGTGGAGGCCACTTTCTCATATATAGCACTTTCTTGCTGTGTCTTTACATGACAGAGAGGGCAGGGTGGCTCTCTGGGACCTTTTTTTTTTTAAGGATGATAATACCATTTATGAGGGCTTCATCCTCATAATCTAATCACTTCCAAAATGGCCCTACCTCCTAATACCATTGCCTATGGGTTAGGATATAAATTTGGGGGGACACAAATATTCAAACCGTATCAATATACTACAACTGTGTTGTACCTTTCACTAGGTTTCTCTAAAATGACCTCTTACCTCAATTCTATAGCAATATGGTATAGTAGTTCAAGATAGACTTCGGAGCCAAAATCCTAAAACCTGCCACTGACTAGGTCTGTAACTTTGTGTCTCTCTGTCTTTTTCTTTTTCCAAAATTAGTGAATCCCCAAAGATATTCCCCTATGCCTATTTTGTACAGACTACATATAAGAATCACCTGGTGAACTTGTTAAAACCTGATATTTCTTGGTGAAGTGGTCAGTATTCTTGGTTGCAAACGACAGAACCCACTCTTGCAAGCTGAAGCAAAAAGGAGCTTATTACAGCATATACCATTGCCCTTAAAATCCCCATAGTCTCAGAGACTGAGATTTCAGCTCTGAGAATACAGAGACAAAACAGGATAAAAGCTGCACCACTGGTTAGCTCCCAGACTTGATTCTACCACTGCTGCTGTTACATAGTACCCAGCATGAACACTGAGCACTAAATCCTGAAGCCAAAATACTGAGCAAAGTGTGTGTCCACAGGATCTCAGCTAGAACTGCCTCTAAAGGCTCTATAACTCTCTGCCAATCTCCAGTTGCCCCAATGATAAAACATTACTTCCCTCCTCACACCACCCTTTCCAGAAACGAACCCCAAGAAGAGGCATCTGTTGGACAGAGCCTAGAGTGCATACTACGACCCCAACCAGAAGTCAACTGCACAAGTGAGTGTTCAGGTGTCGACCTGGAGAAGATGAGGCTTGCATTGCAGGAAATAACTAAAATGTAGAAGTAGTATACCAAATATTCTGACACACACAAATGTTACAAATGAAGAATTCATCTGTTGCCTATTATGAGAAGCAGAGGTCCAAGCACATCTGCCCACTACATCTTGTTGTCAGAGTCACTAAGTAAAACAACACAGTGAAGCACTGGATGGAACAATGCTTTACTCACATATGGAAGAGACAGAGCAAGATTGGCTTCAGTGGGAGGCATTGGTCCCCCATGGCCAGTAGGTTTCTTCCAGCTACCAAAACAGGGCAATTGAGCTGTATACATCCATCTTGAGCTGCAAAAGAAGGATCCTGTCTCCTCCTCACAGAGAACTCATAAAGCAGTGGGGTTGGCCAGGAGCTATATGATGCAGATACTGAAGTGGAACAAAAAATACACACTGAGCCCAAAATAGGGAACAGTTTTTCCATATAAGATGAAAAGTGCAGCACAGGCTGTGAGGATGCTTTATCTCTTGGTAAGGAAGTGTCCCAGGCCAAGGCCCATTCTCATGCAGCTTTGTGGAGGTCAAAAGACTGCATGCAGGGGACTGACTTTTCTAACAAATGTGATAGACACTTATCCACATGATTCCATAATCACCCAACCACATGGACAATGTGCACCCTTCATCTATATTTCAATTACAAATAACACTACCACTCTGCCCCAACAAACATAAAACAGCGATTCATCATAAATGAGACAGACCAAAGACTTAGTTGCATTTTCGTCTTCTAAGACTGGTATCTTAAGTGATATCCTTTCTCCTTCAGTTCTACCACAATCCTATTGACTAAATTGGTAGAGTAATATAACCTATGTGCTAAATTTTACAGTTACCTAATGTAAGTATATTCTATAAACAATAGAAGAAAATAAGGGAATCATTTAAATATTAATTACAAAATCAGTAAGCAGTTATGGATAAGTATTGCTTTAATTTCTGCTCTAGTTCAAGCAGCCTTGAATGGTATTTATTATTTTATCCACTACATTTCTATGTTCATTTTGCTCTCTGTCAACACTTTAGATGTTCTTTACTCTTCTCCAGGTGGATGGCCTAAATTTCATCCTTGAACGATTATAATTCTTCGTGGCTTTATCTGTATGAAGTTGCTTTAGTTTTCCATTAACATTTACCCTTGCACATGGCAAAAGCAGAAAACATACCAGAAGATCTCCTGAGTTTTCAGAAAAAATTTCTCTACTCCTATTCTCACACCTAGTATATATCAACAACCCCACTGTTTCTTGAAAACCAGAATTAATAACCCCACAAAGATCATTTTTACCCCTGCTCACACGATGTCCCCAGAAGCTTGAAATTTCAATGGAACTATTATGGAACCCCATGGAGGGAGCATTTCTACAATGGCTACTAAGACCACTGAACCAGCAGAAACTAGAGATAGAGTAAGGAAAGCACAATCTCACGAATATGCTATGGTAAAATGGTGTAAAGTGGCCTTCCCTCTTCCACCCCTCACTTCTGAATTCATGAATGCTGGCTATTAGGGACGCAGCACCAGTTCTGTCTCCTACTAGTACCTTCAGTTATTAAAACATTATTTTCTGTAAGACCAACTATTAGGCTGGTGCAAAAGTAATTGAGGTTTTTGTTATTTAAAAATAATGGCAAAAACTGCAATTATTTTTGCACCAAAAAATATTTCTGGATCATGGGTGATCATCATAGGACCTCTAAATTCCATGAGTATAAGCCCATGGCTTCAATTCTGTTACTGTAAAATCAGGTTTTTGGTCTGAGGCAATGTTGTTGCATAGGGTATTTACTCAGTCCAGACTTATATTGTCATAGAAATATGGCTAGTAGAGAAGACAATTCTAAATCCAGGTCCTATATCTGTCACAGTTAAGATAAATTAGAAAGATTCCAATGTATTCATCCTACTACTGGTAGGTTGGTTGGTTCTCCTGTATTTAGTATAATAACAGGGCTCAGAATTGGTCACACCACTGCAAAATTGGGCATCCAGCATTGGCAGTATTCAAGTCATCTTTGAAGAGAAGTCCATGCTGTTGAGCCTTTGTATAATCTCCATCCCTGTCCCCATGAGCTTCCTGAGCAAGCCTTGTGGCTGCTAATGAAAAGGGAATGTTATGCATTAGGCATTTTTTTTTCACCTGCTTTCTCCTATCTTTCCCTGCTGCTAGGGGCTTTTGTGAATATTTACTTGGAAAATAACTTTTCTCACTTAAGGCTCATTCTGAAGTCCCTTTCATGAAATTGTTACCCAAAATACTTTATCACCAATATATCAGAATTCTATTTCCCACTAAGCACCTGACCAAATCAAAGCTCAGAAAAGAAACTAGTGAAAGAGAGAAATGTAACCATTACAACATAAATGGCACATTGAAAGCAGTAAAGATGAGAATTAGCATTACTGAAAACAAAGGACAGGAATGACAAATAAGAAAAATGTCTAAATGAAATTGAAATACAAAGAAATAAAACTAAAAAAGTTTAAATAATGAGAGAAGAAATGACAGATCTGGAAGAAAGATGAATTTGATTCAATATATACTGATAACCAGGAAGATGAGAGTTAAATAAATGGGTCAAAACCTATTCAAATAAATCAAAAAAACTTTTTAGACCTAAAAAAAATTGTGACATTTATAGTTTTGAAAAGTTCCTTGTGTCTTGGTAAATATACTGGATTTTAAAATTAAAGAAATAATCTTTTGCATATCAAACCATGCACCAAATAATGTCTGCTATAAGAGATGGGAGTAGGGCTGGGTGGCTCAGGCTGGGTAGCTCTACAACAAATGCTAAAAGACAGTGGATCTGTACCTACCATGCCTTTAGAGAAAGGAAACTTGATCTTAAGCTTTAACCATTCAACCCAAGGATGAGCAGATAAATGAAGCTAAAATACCCAAGGTAAGCAGTGAACACATTCAGCCGTGGAAGAAAGACAAAAACAAAAGTGAGGACCATGATTGCAGAAAGCAAAGTGTTACAGGAAATGACAGTATGGAAATGATACACCTAACACAAATGGAAGGAAAAAGGAGACAAAGGGAGAGGTAAGGTAAATATGTTTGATTACCTCAACTTTTAATTGCAGGATATCAAAAGGCCTAATTTAAATCTGAAATTGCATGTTATAAATGTGTAGGTATACTTAGATACCAAGGTAGACAGGGAAAAAATTAAAGTATATAAAACAGTTAATAACTGAAATCAGTTGTTGGAAGAAAGGAAGGGAAGGTGGATGTTTATTTTGCTGTCTCTTGTAGCTGAGCATCAGCAGGCACTGTTTTAATAAGTAGAAGAATGGGTATATTTGATAAAGTTGTCTTCTGCAATTTAAACCAAGCATGTATATTACCTATAGAAACTTTTAAATTACTAAGTAAAAGTAATTTATAATATAAATTAAATCAATATAATAAATACAAAATGTATTAAAATATGATAAAAACTAATTAAACAAAAATGATGGTTTCTCATTGCCCATGACATATTGTTCAGACTCTATAATAGCACACCCTGAGCTTTCTCATGTATCTTTCTGGACTCCTCTCCAACCACTATATAGTATACTCTATGCTTCCCCAACTGTACTATCTACACATTTCATAACATATGTATTTGCTTCCCGGCTTTCATGCATGTCATCATGCTATCCCATCTGCCTTGAAGGCTTCTTCTTCCCACCTCTGCAACTTCTTTACTGAAATGTCTTTAGGAGGCTTCTTTGAAAGTTATTTGATGCCCCTAGGTAAGACTGTTTTATCTTTTGTTCATTGGTTTACTTAATATGTAGGATATAGCTTTATAGCCATTTATTTTTAGGTCTTATTTTTCCCCTTCCTAGGTTGTATACTCCTACCTGATGAAGACAAATGTTTACACATCCTTCTGTTTCCAACACTTAGCACAGTTAAAAGAAGCAATAAATGAGCAAGAATAAGGTCTATTATATATGTTTTCTTCATTGTTTAAACTTTATGTAAATACAAGTATTTGTTTATATGCAAAATTGCATACCTATATGTAGCTAGGTAAAGATAATATAGGCCGATCACAGTGGCTCATGCCTTTGATCCCAACACTTTGGGAGTCTAAGGTAGGAGAATTGCTTGAGGCCAGGGGTTCATGACTAGCCTAGGCAACATAGCAAGACCTTATCTCTAAAAAATATGAAAAAAAATAGCCTGGCCTGTTGAGGCACTTGCCTGTAGTCCCAGCTACTTGGGAAGCTGAGGCAGGAGGACTGCTTGAGCCCAGAAGACTGAAACTGCAGTAAGCCGTGATTGTGCCACTGTACTCTAGCCTGGATGACAGAGTGAGATGCTGTCTCAAAAAAGAAAAAAACAAAAAAGGCAGTATAGATATAGATACACATACTCAATATTTTAAGCTCCTTGAAGGAAGGCAATACAATGTTTTTACCTGTTTTTATAAACCCTGCAACATTTTGAGTAGTGTTTAACATAGAATTGAAATTCAGTAACTACTTGTCAGAACATTCATGGTTATTGGGAAGAAAATAAAATTCTGAAGACATTAGCAATTATTTTACTGATATTATATGAATTATATGAATGAGGCCTTTTATTCACCTAGTAATACTACATTCTCTAAGGTAAGTTGAGTTGCTTTAAAGGACAGCCTGCCATTTCCCATGAAAAATTATTAATACTTTGCTTGACTCTCTTAATGATAGTTACTGTCAAACACTTAATTTCCAGGATTCTTCGCCTTCTCTTTGGAATGTCAGATTTTTAAATCTTCTGATATTCCCCAAATTCCCTATAATTATATTAGTCTAATTATTTTAAAATTTCCAATGGCACAGCATTTGGTCAGATCAACAAAATCATGCTCATCTATTGCAATGGTCAGTTATTCTCTACCACTTCTTACAAAAAGGATTCTTTTGTAAGAGAGAAAAGCTCAAAGTTAGCCACTAATTATCTCTACTATATTTCTTAAATTGTAAATAGGTTAAGTTTATCATTTTCACCAGATCAGTGTACCCTGAAATTTCTTTTTTTTTTTTTTCTTCCACAAAATTGGATCCATTAGTCCCCTGGATGTGTCCCATCATCTCATTCCATGCTTTCCTGAGAATCCTATCTACTTCTTTGTTTGCACTCACTCAATCTGTGCCCTTTTCCTTCTTGCTTCTTTGTGTAGAGAAAGGCTTTCACGACTATGCAGGGATCACTTTTATTGTGTCCTTTCTTCTCTCTTTCTACTACTGATTTCCACTTGGCCTGCAGACAAAGAAGGAGCCTTTCATAAAGTCCTGTTAGCTGTTTCTTGAGAGTATTACCCTTCATGAGCCTAGTTAAAGAGGGTATTTCAGAAGCTGGCAGGTTATTCAATAACTCTACTCATTTTTATGAAGTGAGCTACACTGAAGTGTTTATTGTGATTTACAGATGGGCTGCACAGAAAGTGGTATCATGACCTCCGAGTGGCCCCGCTACCCAATGTCACCTTCCTTGCTACTGTATCTCAGTGTATCCCAAGAAACAGGTAAACATAGCTCAGCATGTTTAGTATACAAACTGCCAACACCTCAAGGAACAGCCTTCTAAACAAATGTGACTCCAAAGCTAGTATATTCTGAAATCGTAACTGGTTTTATAAAAGGTAAATTAGGGGTTCTGCCTTGTTTTTTAAATCTGTATTGATTTTATGTCTTGAAGCAAAACAGAGTCAGTTTCCAAACACTGTTGGAATTGGGCTCTGCCTTTTATCTTTCTCTGTTTATTTTAAGTGAAAGGGGAAGTGGCTGAATAGGACACAAGTTTAATGTCATATGATCAAGAAAAAACATTCCTCTTTGTCATCCTAGAATGTCTACATCAGTCAACATATTCAAGTCATTAATGTGAACTCCCCATTCTCCATATCCAGCATTCAACACGTAAGTTCTTAGACCCCACTCAGCAGTTTACAGCAGTGCTGAGGGCTACCTATAAGAACAACTCTATCATTATTGCATATGAGTTCCTAATGGGCATAAGCTATAAGGAGATAAACTGAATTCCAAGTCAAGAAATCTGAAATTCAAAATCTCCACTGATCTCATACACATTCTAGAGTATCGTTTCAATCACGATAGAAAGATAAAACACAAAACACTGGAGAACTGAAGATGGGGCTGGGTGTGTGCAAATAAAATAAATTTAGAAAAAAAGTTGACTTTGTAAAGGAAACTTAAAAAATCTGGCAAACCAAATATATTTAAAGACTTCATGGATCTCTGGTGGCAAATGCTAAGGCTACCCAAATGAGAAGAACACGTGCTAAACTTAAACAGGCATTGTTGTTTCACCTAAAAAAAGGGGGTGGATCTTTAAGGAAAACACAGCTGGATTTTTAAAACAAATTGAGTGTGGACTTAGGTTCCATCTCTAATGATATCTAACCATATTATTTTAGAAAATGTAACCACTCTAGTAGGTTAAATGTTTATCACTTACTTACCTGGGATATTGTCAAAAGAATCAGTGAAAGACATTCTGCAAAGTATTTGTGATGTAATCACCTTCGTGGTTATTGGTCCAAGATTTGAAGAACTCTGAAGTTTTAAGTTAGCTGAGCCTCGCAGAGCCAGAACAAGTAGAGGGTACACATTACAGGAACCTAAGCCTTCAGAAAGAAATGAGTACAATTAAATTGCAACACTTCTCTTGTTCCCTTCCTTTTAATGGGACAACTCTCTTGGCTTACCTCTAATAGAGCTCATCTTTGATGAGTAGATTGTATGATGTACAACAATGTCCTTTTTTACCAAACTTAGAACAGCAAACAGCAGGTTGGGCATGGTGGCTCATGCCTGTAATCTCAGCACTTCGGGAGGCTGAGGCCAGCGGATCACCTGAGATCAGGAGTTCAAGACCAGCCTGGCCAACATGGTGAAACCTTGTCTCTACAAAAATACAAATTTAGCCGGGCATGATGGCGGGTACCTGTAATCCCTACTACTGGGGAGTCTCAGGCGGGAGAATCACTTGAACCTGGGAGGTGGAGTTGCAGTGAGCCGAGATCGTGCCATTGCACTCCAGCCTGGGCGACAGAGTGAGACTCCATCTCAAAAAAATAAAAAAAGGACAGGAAACAGCAGATGTGTAACTAAGATAATACTACCATTTTAAAATTTTCTTTATTTATATGTATTTATTTATAGACAGGATCTTGCTCTGTCACCTGGACTATAACAGTGACACAATCATAGCTCACTGCAACCTTCAACTCCTGGGCTCAAGTGATCCTCCCAACTCAGCCTCCCGAGTTGCTGGGACAACAGGCACAGGCCTCACCTAATTTTTTCTTTTTTTAATTTTCTTGTAGAGATGGGGTCTCACTATGTTACCTAGGCTGGTGTCAAGCTCCTAGGCTCAAGCAATCCTCCTGCCTTGGCCTCTCAAAGTGCTAGAATTACAGGCATGAACCACTAGCCCCAGCCTATTTTTCATTTTAAAAACTACATATATTTGTAACTATAAGAAAAAACACAGAAAAAAACAGGCACATAGATTTATTCATCATAAAACTTCTTTCCTTTCAAGTTTAATTCAGTGTGAAAGCCATTTCTGTGAAACCCAGTTGATATTAACCTTAACTCAATGCTATTTTGAGCTGAAGATAAGAGAGGAGATTTGGAGTTGGAAGCTGCTTTTTTCGAATTGTATAAGATGAATAAAAGCATTTGAGCGAGTGTATCTCTTTAAGATCAATGATCCTGGTAAGGCTAATTACTCTAACCCTCTCCCTCTAAATTTAAAAAGACCTTGGTAACTGGAAGGACCACATGATTAACCGGCTGAGAAGATTGGCCATGATAACGGTGGTTGGTACTTCCAGGTATCCCCCTCAGTTGTCTCTTTGTCACCTGGAGAATATACTGTATGTGCCAATGAGCTGCATCTTGAAGAGCTGGGAGATTCTTTCATGAAGATTGATAGCAGTGGTACAAGGATGGGGAAAGATATTTTAGGTCTTAATGAGCTTACACTTCCTGGGAAAATGTGGAATGGCATTGGGATTCTAGGGACTCGCTGTTATGGGACAGTCCAGATGACATTGTCTCGCTTTCTTTCAAACCATAGCCCAGGCTTCCTGCTGAAGATGGAGCCATCTTTGTCTTCCAAAATGGCATTCTCCATCGGAGACTCTTTATTAAAATAAAAATTAATATTGATCAAAATTGTTATTATTTTTTAAACTTCTTCTTCTTATACTACTTATATTTTGTCTGTACCTGTTTGTGACTATTATTCTATCATCGGTTCATGAATATTTTCTCATGCTGTTAACAGGAACCTCTCATCATCATAATACAACTCCTAGTCACATGCTGCTTTTTTTCTTGCATTCTTTTAATCCAGTTGTTCCCCATCTCACAATAGTAAATCTACTTATTACTTGTGCTGTAATAACAAACATATCACACAAGCCAAAACTTAATTCGTGTTTTTTTTAATGAAGTTACATGATGTTTAATGAAAAATCCTGCTAGTACACATATAAATGGAAACAACACTTCAGACCCAGGGGGTGGTTTATATACTTAGGGTCAGGAATAGCATTCCTGGGAATTCATCCTAAAGAAATAATTAAGCAAACGTGAGAACAAACATAGTATTTAAAAGGTAACTATTGTCAATTATTTAAAAACTATTAAAGCTATCCAAATGTCCAACTATAGGAAAATAGCTAAGTAGATATTACACCATTGAACGGGACAGGACAGTTCACCAGATATTTAAAAATATAATTATTAAGGTGATATATAGAAAACCAAAATACTTTATAGTTTACTGTTAATTTTAAAAGCCTTATATAAAATAATATGCTACGTTTTATCATTGTGATTATATAAAATAAAACTATGCAGATTAGAAACAAATGACCATGTACAAAAATTGCTCTGTTAAGTGATGTTAGCAAATTTTTTTCTTCAGAAATCTATTATTATCTCATTTTTTGTTTAAAATTTAACTTTACTGATTTTTTAAAATCATAAAGTATGTTAATTTTCGTGTGTTAAATCTATTTGTCTACCCTTCAATACTTCTAAAGATGGTAAACGTTGACCGAATTAAAATTTTTTTTTATTATACTTTAAGTTTCAGGGTACATGTGCACAACGTGCAGGTTTGTTACATATGTATACATGTGCCATGTTGGTGTGCTGCATCCATTAACTCGTCATTTAGCATTAGGTATATCTCCTAATGCTATCCCAAATTCAAATTTGTAATTAAAATGTTTTTTAATTTACAAGACTTGTAAGTGTAGAAGAAATTTAAATAACACTTCAAATGATGCTTTCATAAGCTTGCAGCATTTAAAATTAAAATTTTTAAAGCTTAATTATGCACTAAGACTTTTGCTTTACTTGTCTATAAGTATACACATATATACAGTGTTACTTCAACTATATGAGAGTAAAGACAGTTTGCCTGTCTAATAAAAATAGTAGAAAAATAGTATCATATAACCACAGTGCAATGATCAAAGTCAGACAAATTGACATTATTTATTACTATTATCTAATCCATGATTTGTATTTAAATTTTATCAAATAATCCAATGTTTCTATAACTAGTTTTTTTTTTCCTGGTATTTAGGATGCAATCCAGGATCATATGGTGCATTTAGTTGTCTTAGTTCCTTCATCTTCAGCTGTAGAGTATCTTTCAACTGAGTGTGTCTGATCTTTTCTCATAACTAGACTCAAGTGAAGAGTTTTAGTACATACCACAGAAATGACGAAGTAACTTTCTTCCTTTCATTGTTAATAAAAATTAAAATATAAAAATTTTCTTAAATTGTTAATTATATGAAACTGCACTCATAAAACAGTTGTCACTAGAGGTAACTCACAAAGTTTTACTTCAAGAGATTACTCTGACAAGAGAATGCAAGTGCTAAATGGAGCTTCCTACAAGATGAAAGCAAAGCAGACTGTTCAGGCTCCTCAGATCAGTAAGTGAGGCACATCTTTCCACCAAGTATGGGGTTTGGGTGGGTTTAATTTCCAGAAGCATGATTATAAACCACATGTCTTGGGCTCAGAGAGCAACAGTGAGGGGTATTCACATTTGAAATATAGCTCAGACCAGAAAACATGGCCCATCCAAATGATGCTTTCTCCTACATCCAAGAACATTCCCATCCCTCTCTGACTTGTAGACTTGCTCAGCCTCAGCTCATCATTCTTTCCCAAATAACCCAGCCAGAGAACAGCTGCAGGGTCAGGACATCAAAGCCAAGCTGCGGTGGATGCACGACTGCAGCTCTGCCGTTACCAGGGATGACTCTAGAGACAAGAAAGTCACAGCTGGGTGCTCAGATCTCAAGAGGGGGCTGCAATCCTGGCAAATTACAGAATGTATCAAGGAGTTATATGATGAGAAAATGTCTTCTGGATGTCAGGGAGAAAAAACACAGAGAAAACCCCAGGATCTTGTGTTTTACAGACTCCTTTGTGACTGGAGTCAAACTCACAATAACCCCTTTGCTTTCTGCAGCCACTTCTTCTGGGACATGATGCTACTTGATGTGTTTATTTAGGTTTCTTTGCGCATTATTTAAAAGCAAATCTCTAAAGCAAGTTACACTTGAGGAGATATGGGCTGGGCGGATTTTTTAGAAAGAGAATTCACTTAATCCTCAAGAACTGCTGTTGACTTTTCTGCCTGTGCTTCTGCTTATTTATCCCATTTACAATGCATGCTTGCTCAACAAAAGAAGCAGACAATCATCCTTACACATTCATATCTGTGACACACAATCTGACCACTTCTAACCTTTCAGTTATGATTTGCATAAAATCCTAAGTGAATAGATACTATATTTTCCGATGCTCTTGCCACCATGATGCTTGAAGGCTTATTGTTTATATTTCTAGCTGAGCTTCACCAGACAGGAGCAGGCAAAGGGGATTCACCTAATGCCAACCCTCTCAATATCTTAAAAATGAGAAAAGATAAGCATGGAAAAATCATGGGAAAAAAACTAAGATATAGCAAACTCCTTGACATAAGTTGAAATAGATTAAGTCTGCTTTTAAAGCCAAGAAAAGGAGTCAGGCTTCCCTCTGCAAAACCATATAACAAGACTGCCCTAGGAGTTCTCAAGTAGGAGAGGTAAAGGGCAACCCAGGCAGGGAGACAGCAGAAACACAGGCCAAGAGAAGAAAAAAAAGGAAAAAAAAAACCTGAGACATTGTATAAGTTAGCTATTGCTAACTAATAAGCCACCCCAAAATTTAATGGCTTAAAGTAATGTAGCATTTTTCACCAGGTATGAGCTGGCTGGGCAGTTCTGCTGATGTGGTCTAGCTTATAGGGCTCACACATGCATGTGTGGTCAATTGCCAGTCAGGCTGGTGGTGCAACTGACCTTGGATGGGCTCTGGTACAGATGCAGAGCCTTAGCTCGAATTGCTGGGCTGATGCGGCTCTGCTCCGTGGGTCTCATACTGCAACAGGCTGGCCCACACAAAGCCTCATGACAAAGGCAGAGGAGTGGTAGGGAGAGTAAAATCATGCAAGGTCTCTTGAAGTCTAGGTTCCCAACTGTCACATCATCACTTTCATTGCATTCTATTGAGCCAAGCAAGTCACAGGATATAGCCTAGACGTAAGGGGAGAGCTGCAAAGTCATATTGCAAAGGGTATAGATTCAGATCTAAAATTGGGGTCATTTTTGCAATCAATCTACCACAGAAATGCTTAGGAAAGAGCTAATGGTCAAATACGGGTAAACACTACGACTACCGATGGAGGGTAGTGTTGGGGAATGAGGCTGGGCTTGTAATTAAATGCATAACTAGGTTTAATGCATTTTCACCTGATTGCCAATGGGAGAGTCTGCCACAGAAGTGCTAAGATTGGGAACATTAACCTTGAAACACTGTGTAGAATTAATTGGAATAGGAAGAAACTATAGGTGGGGAGCTCAGTTATGAGACTATTGGAGGGCAGGGGTGGGGATTAACGTGAATTGGACCCCTGGTCTCAGTGGTGGGGTAAAGACAGGTCCACCTCTGGGGCGCTTTGTGGTAGTGTCTCAGTTCCTGCCAACGGCAGGATCATGGGGTTCTCAGTGGCTGAGGAGGGCAGCATTAGTGTATCAGAAGCACATTTCCAGCTACAGGGGAAGGAGAGGCTCAAAGGGTCAAGCTGTCTGGGATAAAATGACTTAAGGATGATCAGAATAGTGAAAACCTTACAGTAGTCTTCTGGATCTAAAACAAGGGGACAAGAGGCTTTAATAAGAGTTGCTTTGGTCTAACAACTTGGACTCCCTAAAATTACTGAAACAGACAGAGCAAAAGTTACAATTCTGTATTTAAGCTATGCTTCAGAATTTCTCTTTCTATGACAGTATTCTGAATTGAGTGTTCACTTTATATCCCAGGCCCATCCTAGATACTGCAGCTCCTGAAAATAAAGTAAAAGTCACATTTTTTTTCTATTCCTGGTCCATCCGTTCATCTGGAGTTGCCCTCCCTATACGATATCCTCTGGGATTCAATTCCCACCTCATAGGTGACAGATATAATGAAGTCATTTCTTCTATATAGAGACCTTCTAGGTAAATAAAAATTACTAATTTACTATTTAGAACAAATGAGTACAGAATAGTTATTTGTTCACCTGTTGATTGTCCTCAGCCTCAGCTGAACTTGTTAGCTCTCCTTCCAAATTTCTGCTTTTCCTATATAGAAACATGTGTCACTGGTAAAAAGCAAGACATCATAATTAGTAAATAAGCCTGGTGAGGAGGATGCCTTGGGTATGCTTCAAACCCTACTTGCCTCCTAACACAATGTCCTTCAGCCTCCCAAGTCATCCATATAAATGTACTCTTTGAACAAAAACATTGTGCTTAACATGCAAACAGGACTTTGAGCACAACCTGTCATCCTCGTCCTTGTGGAGACTGCTTCCTCAAGCCTTTTCTCCATGGAAACTCTTGAACTGTCATCAGCTGAGGCCTCAATGATTGGCTTCAATGCAAACTAATATATGTATGTGTGCATATGACAGCTGAATATAGACAGATTACATAGAAAGGTAAACAGATAAATAGATAGACAGATACACAGATAGAGATAGACAGATAGATAGATACATACATACATACATACATACATACATACAATTTGGCCAAAACAGTTCTTAAAGAGACATATGTTGTCTTCTCCCTGGACCTCACATCTCACTATACCCCCAAACCAATCATACCATCATATCATCTAGTCTATTAAAATTATCATGATCTGTCCTGGCTCTTTAACTTTCCATCTGCTGTACCTCTGACAGTAGCATTTTAAAATTTCGTTTAGTCATGGTTTTCTGTAGGGTCAGTAGTGTCCTATTATGGCATATCCCAATAGACCTTCTTGGAACATCTGCCCTATTGATTGGATAGCCTCTTGCCCTCCCACCTTGAAGGTGCTTGTGGCATAAGACTATACAAAGAAGTTCTGTTGACTAATAGAATACATAAAAATATGAAGTCAGTGTATTTGACATCAAGGCTGAATATATAGTACATTTTCTGATAGTAGGCAGCTTGGCATACAAGAGAAAATCTGAGTTTTACCTCTGGCTTTTCCACTTACTCTTTATGTGACCTTAAGCAAGTTACCTAATGCTTTCGAACCCCTTTGTCTTTATTTGTAAGTTGACGGATAATAATGGATACCTCATAAGGCTGCTGTGAAAAATAAGATAAAGGATAAAAAGTGTTGACCAAAATATCTATCACATTTTGGTTATACAGCAAGAGAACATTTCTTTCCTCTTAATTATGTGAATGCATTACTTCATTGAATGTAAAATATAGAAGAAAAGATGTGGAGGAAGGAAGGGGACTCTCTAATGCAAGATACTCTTCATATAAATTGCAGCTTCTACTTTGCAGAAGTCTCCACCACTGATTGATCAAGAGTAGCATTTTACGCTTTGTTCCAATTGCCTATTGCTGCACCACAAATGATCCCAAAATTTAGTGATTTAAAGTAACAACATCATTTAGTTTGCTAACAAATCTGTAATTTGGGCTAGGATCATTGGCACAACTCTACTCTGCTTTACCAAGCGTCAACTGGAGTGGCTCAAAGACAGGGTCTATCATTTAGTGAAGGCTCATTCACTCGCATGTCCGGCAGTTGTTGCTGGTTATTGGCTGGGACCTCGCCAGCCTTTCCATGTGGTCTCTTCTTCGCAACATGCAGCTGGGTTCCAAGGGTGAGTGTTTTAAAAGAGCCAGGTGGAAGCTGTATCATCTTTAAAGCTCAGCTTCAGAAATGATATAGTGGAACTTCCACCATAGTCACAGCTCCATTGAGATTTAAGGGTAGGCCATATAGACCTCATGTCTCAAATGTCACCCTGCAAGAAGAGCATGTGGCAGGGAATATATTGGTTTAACCATCTTTGGGAAATACAATCTTCCATATTCTACAACTAGAAATTGACTCTGTGAGGGAGCCTTATGGCTGTGTTCCTTTTTGGGGTCACTTTATGCTTTGTGCAGCAATCTTTGGAAAATACAATCTTCCATATTCTACAACTAGAAGTTGACTCTGTGAAGAAGTGTTATGGCTGTGTTCCTTTTGGGGGTCACTTTATGCTTTGTGCAGCAATCACATTGGGATGACTGCATACATTGGGTTATGTTCTTCCCACTGTGGTAAAAGAGGTTTCCAAAATCTAGGAGATATTTCTTCAATCAAAACAAAATATCTTTTTGTTTATTTTACTATGAACATAACACATTCTTTTTAATGAAAAAAAGGAAGAAAGTAAAAAGAGGAAATGAAAGGAGAAGGAAGAAAGGAAAGAAGGGAGGAAGAAAGGAAGGAAGAAAGCAAGGAAAAAAATTGGAAGTACTTATCTATCAAATCTTCTAAACAGAATCATGTTGTACATAGTCCTGAAAAGTTTGTTTCTTTAAAAAATTTAATCTTTACATGACATAGTGGTTTACTTTATGAATGTATTAGAATTTATTTAACCAACTTCCCGTTGACGTATACCTCCATTGTGTGCAATTTCTTACTACTATAAAAATACAAGACAATGCTCTTTCTAATCCGACATATTCCTGAACACTTATCTTAGCATTTTCTTAAGCCTTAAATTAAATTGCCTATGCATTTTAAATTAGTTTTCTTTATAAAGGAAAGTGTAAGATTTCTGGCCCAATTGTGTCCTCAAGGACTCCCTTGGTAACACCCCCACTCCCCTAATTATTTCAAGTCTCACTTATTTCCAGCAGCCTTGGTAAAAATGACAACTTGTATTTTGTTGCTATATAGCTGTAGATAAATTTATATGAATATGGTTATACATAAACCAATTTGTATAACTATGTCAGGCATGATACTAGTGTTTTATGCAAATTATTTTACTTAATTCTTAAAACAACTGTATAAAGCAGGTATTAATATCCTTATCTTACTGATAATAAAACAGGCTCAGAGCAGTTCACTCTGAGTTTGAACCTGACAGCAGAGTTTTAGCTTAACTCCCTTTCCATTATACAACACTGTATTCTCACTGAAATGTGTATAAAATATCAGGCAGAAACAAAGAGAAATAGTGTATTTATATACAAAGCAGTGAGTCTTTCATGGAACATCTTATTACTCTCCTAAATTTTTGCAGTGGCTTTGAAAGAATGTATCACCCAATCAATTGTAGACTCTTCATGTCTGTTTTCTCTGACTGCTCAGCTTCAACGACATAGCAGATGTATCTGCCTGACCTTGGCTCTGACCTCGGTCCTGTGTCTCACTCACTTTCTCCTACCTTCCACTCTGCATCTCTTCTTTTCCTTTGTTTCCATTACTGATTCTCTCATTTCCTCTTGCCCTCAGTAGTACGCCTTCCCAAAGCCAGAAAGTCTCTCTGCCTTTTATTCCTTTAACACATCCTGGGAGAGCTCATCCATTCTCATGGCTTTACACATCACTTCTATGCTAATGACTCCTAAATTTACATTTCCAGCCCCATCTTCAATCAAAGCAAACCCTCATTAATCACTGAGTTCCTGTTCCTTGTCTCTAGTTGCCCACTGGACACATTCAGCAGGAATATCTTACTGTTACCACATCCCTAAAACCCAAAACATCATCTACTCACCAAACTGGTGTCTTCTAAACTCCTTTTCAAGTCATTGGCACCATCCTTCCATTCTTCGGGTGACTCCTGCTGTCTCCACCTTAATTCTGGAAATACACTATAAATGTGATGCTTCCTTTATTAATTTAATTGGTATTGTTATACAAAAGTAAAGGAAAAATATTTGATGCATGCTTCGAAATGTTTCTCTAATCTTTAGCCGAATTCACAAGATAAATATTGTTCAGCTTTTCCTCCTCTGAGGATGATCATGATGATAATGGCTAACATTTATTGGCCCCTTTTTATGAATGAGGCACGGTTTTTAGCACGTCATGTATGTTAGCACATATTGCATTCTACCAAACAGCCTGATGCGATCTCCATTATGCAGACTGGGCATCTAATGCCAGATCACAGCAGCATGATTTGACTTCATCACCTTTGCTCTCCTCATTAACCTCCTCTTTCACCTTTCCTTTAGCTTTTAATTTATTGGCCAGCTTAGCTCCCTTTTCTCTTCCACACATTTAGTTTCTTCTTCTTCTTGTCATTACCAACATGGATCCCCTGACTTCCCAGGCTCGCTAGTCTCCTGAAAAGTTGCCTCTTCTGCTTGTCAAATGCCACCATGCTGATGCGAGTCTTTGTCCTCTCCCCTGACCTCACAACCCTCCTGGCTTTGGCCTCTGTCTTCCATTGTCCCTTAGCTATAATTCATCCTGCATGCTGTTTACCAGACAAATTCTCCACGCACAGCCTGTTCGCCTGAGAGTCCACTTCTGCTGGGACATAACAAATGGCCACGTTTCTTAGCTTGCTCCCAAATCTACCCTCAAATATCATACCACCTGTTATGAAAATTTTTATTCTACGTACTTTTAATTGTTTTAATCTGAAGCATTTAACGATCTATACATATGATACAATTTCATAGTACTTTATATGCATCATAAAAATGAGTGCATGTAAAAACTGGTGAAATCTGAATAATTTCTCTAGTTTAACTCATAGCTGACTGTACCAATGTCAGTTTCCTGGTTTTGATGATAATAATTAATAATAAACTACAGCTCTGAGAAATGTTCTCATTGAGTGAAGCTAGGTGAAGGGTATGTGGGAACTCATTATACTATTTCAGAAAGGTATTAGGAGGCTTGTTTATTTCAAAATAAAAGTAAAAAATACCCTAAGGCATTTTTATAGGAAGGTACATCCCAAGTTGTTATCATTGGGATGAACTGCAATGAAAGGAAGAGAAAAGCTTTTCCTTTTCACCCTACATAGTTCCGCAGTGTCTGAATATTTTGCCAAATAAATATATCCATGCAGAAGTTGTATACGAATAAGATAAACAGTCTCAGGAAAAAATCAAAAGCATTGTTAGTGTAAATGTTATGTTTGTTTTTCAAATTTCTAACTACTTATCTGCTTACTACAATTCAACTTCACTTTGTATTATTCACAAATATGGTCCTTTTAGTCTGATCAGGTAGATCATCTTAAAATTCTAGAGTGCATATCTTGTCCACCCGGTCTTTTGTTGCTTTCTCTGTTGACAGCTCTGTGGATTTAGCTATGTTCTCTAAGCAGATGACTTCCAAATATGTCTCCTCTGGCTCTCTCGCTGCTTTTTTTTTTTTTTGAGATGGAGTCTCGCTCTGTTACCCAGGCTGGTGTGCAACTGTGTGATCTCAGCTCACTAACCTCCGCCTACCAGGTTCAAGCAATTCCCCTGCCTTAGCCTCCTGAGTAGCTGGGATTACAGGCATGCACCACTACACCTAGCTAAATTTTGTATTTTTAGCTGAGACGGGGTTTCACCATGTTGCCTAGGCTGGTCTTGAACTCCTGACCTCAAGTGACCCACCTGCCTTGGCCTCCTGAAATGCTGTGATTACAGGCATGAGCCACCGCACCTGGCCCCCCCTGCCTCCCTTATCTCCCAGAGCTCTATTCGTAAATTCCAACTGCTGCTGGCTTTTGCACGTAGATTTTTTTTTTTTTTTTTTGCTAGTATGTCAAACTTAGTTTGTTAAAAAATTGAGCTTCTCTTCCCTCCCATGCTATCTCTTCCCTCAGTGCTGTGCATATTCGTTAATGACACCATCATCTTTAGAATCAGTCTGACTCAAATCAAGTTAAAGTCATCTTTTGATCTTTTCTCTCCTCCCTTTTTTCTCCCACCCTCTTAGCATCACTTTCCCTTTCTGCAGACTTGGATGTCCCTCTAGCATGGCATTTAATGTCATGCAAAATCTGACTCCACGTATTTTCTTAGGTGTCTTATTACTCAACACCACACTTTCTACATTTTCATAGAAATAAAATTCACGTCATTGTTCTCTTTTCCACCTCCCTACCCTTCATAAGTAGATAATAGTGTCCTGGAAGGAAAGGAGTTCTATCTTTCTTATCTTTATATCACCTACCTGGCATTAGAGGCTCAATAGTCACTCAAAAACTATTTGTTGAAGTGAATTGATTTTCCTAATCAGATTTTAGTGATTTGAAAATAGGCTCTTAGGCATACAAAGACTTCTGAACACATAGTAGGAGCTTAATAAATATTCACTGATTGATTAAAATTTGTTAGCCAGGTTTCATTATCAGGCAAAATGAAATACAGAAAATAAACTCCCATCTCAGGCTAACTTCTCCTAGAAATAGAGATGAATGATTCCATTGAGTGATATAGATGAGTATCTGGTCTGGCCTCCATAGAGAAGAGTAAATTAGATTTTTTAAATAGTTCCAGGGTTAATAATGTAAGATGTTATTAGTAACACAAGAAGTAAGGAATCATTTTTAATGTAGTCTATGACCTTTATCTTGATATACTGGAATAAGAGATGTATGCACCAGAATGGGAAGAACTGCTCATTTTCAGCAAGGATTTGGAAACAAAGGGCAGAAGCTCAAATAGGGAACATTCAAGTTTGACTAAGAACCAACCAGGAGAATGCACTGCAATTTCCCAGGCCCCACACAAGGCCTCAGGAACTGAATCGGTCCAGAGGGAGATGGTTGTTAAGAACAAGAAAGCTACTCTTTTCACATAAATACATAAGTCATAATCAATAATTTAAGAAGAATAAAGGAAATTCAAAAACAGCCTATGTCAGTTTAATGAGATTTGGGGAAAAAAAATATGATCTCCTTTTAAAGTTTGCTTCAATACAATAGGGCCTCTTTAACACATCCCTAATTGGATTTAATGGAGGTGAAACAGATTTAACCAATCTTAACCCAGATTTATTCAATATTATGTAGATTTTACAAATTCACTGGAGGTTCAATACCAGTTACTGTGATCTTAGTAAATCTTCCCTGATTCTTATTTGCACTTTCTGTAATTTAATAAGGAGGCAGGTGTAACCAACACTAAGATTTAATAAATATTTAGAGTTTTATTGAAAAAAATAAACAATTCAAAGATGTATTCAATAGGCTTAAGACTTAACAAATATTGTCTCAACTCAGGGAAATACAAATTGAATAAAAATAGCCCTAATTGCTTGCTCTGAGACAAGTGTTCAATTTACCAATCATTTTTTATATATTTAATAAATTATTAAATCAAGTGCAATGCTCATTAAAGATTATATCATTTGAAGGAACTCCTCTCAGCTATGATTTATTTACTTTAATGTCCCATTGATTAAATGTTCTTCAGATCTTAAAAGTCCACTTCAGGTTTAATAGGTATCAGGTCAATTTAGAAAAGCATTTGGAACACATGAAAGCCAATCAGCAGGGAAATGATATGTACACTGGGTACTATATGGGTGCCATAAGTGGGAGGGATGTTGGAAAATCATGTATTTAAAATGCTACTTAAAAGCATTTCCAAGAGAAAATACTGTAATTCTCTAAGCTTCTCAAGTGCCTATAAGTGGGATGGATGGGACCAAAATGTATAACCCAAGGAAAGCGTGGTAAGCAGGATAAATTCTCTGGAGTAGTCCTAGGAATATGACTTTTAGTGGAACTGCCTAATAGCTAAAGTGCCTTCTTTGGAAGTTAATGTGAATTAGAGCTGTAACCATATCTCCGGGGTTCCTATGACATGTTTTATTCTTTCATATATCATGTCTCCAAGACATCTATAGAGTTACAACTTTGAAATTTGGAGTACATTCTTACTTGGCTAATTTCCACAGTGATGTAATATTATGATTCCAAGAATTGATGTCTGCTAGGGTTCAGTGCTTTTGTTGTGATTTGACAGATAAAGAACAGATTCTATGTGAAGCAATACCTTGAATACTGCACCCAAATTGTTACTCTGTGTGTTTATGAAAAGAAGATAACATGGCATTTTATACTTAGTCATTAAGAGTCCCTGGATACCATAGCAGGTAATTAGTGAGCTCAACACAAGCCTTTCATTTGCCCTTTTAATGCTAAAATAATAATACACTCACTCCATTTATTTAGCAGCTACTATACACTGTATGTACTGGACACTATTTCTTTTATTTATTGTAAATATTCCAAATGAAGTTCTACACAGCTTCATATTATAGATTAATACACTAAGATTTTGAAATTAAATAACTTGCCTCAATTCAAACAGCTAGTGAGTAGCAGAACCAATATTTGAAATCAAAATTATATCCTTCCAAAGTATATGGATTTCTTTTACTATCTTACATTGCTCCTGTGGAATATCAGGACCATCAAATTTGATTAAAATCATAAATTGAGTGGCTATCTTTTTTTTCCTGTCACAGTGCTGAGTAATAAAGATACAGAGATAAAAAAGCAGACCTGTTTTCAAGTAAATCACTGTCTGCTTGGGGAGAAAGTCAAGTAAAGAGAAAATTAGCAAGTCATAAGACAAATATTTTGATAGAGCAATTCACTGTGCCCAACAGAGGCATTTAGTTGCACCATATGGGAAAAATTAACGAAGGTGTCTGAGACTACTAAGCTGTGTTTTGGGTAGTAAACACAAAATAATAAGAAGAATGGCATCTTGGGCAGAAAAAAGTTTATGTGCAAAGGCACAGTGATAGACCCATAATATTTTAAGTATCCATGAAGTCATCTACATGTCTCAGAAAATGCATGAAAGACCAGCAATACCATTTCTCAGTATTAAAGATGACTTATTCAGGTGCCAAGTCAAATGAATGAGGTAAGGATATTATTTTCAAACAATGGTGTTAGATTCTCAAATAAACAATGTAATTATTGACCTGTAACTCATTCCAGGCACAAAAGTTAACTTGAGATGTTACAGAGTCTGAAATGGGAAAGCTGGAACCATGAAACTTCTAGAAGAAAATATAGGAAGTACCTTTTTAATCTTGGGTCAGACAAAAATAGACAAATAAAAATCACTAATCATAAAAGACAAATAGGATAAGACTTCATCAAAATTAAAAAGATACACTCATTAAAAAGCACCATTAACAAAATAAACTGGCAAATTACAGACAAGAAGAAAAGTTTTTCAATATATAATATTGGATAAATAAATTATATGCAGAATACATGATGTATTCCTATAAAGCCATAACAAAAAAAATCCAATTTTAAATGGGCAAAAGACTTAAACACATAATCACCAAAAAAATGCATGAATAGACAAGAAGCTCAAGATAAGGCACTCAGTTACCAGGTAAATGCAACTTTAAGCCATAATATAAAGCCATTTAATATTTTCCAATTGAGATAAATAAAAAGACTGATAATACCAAATGGTTTGGAGGTAATGAAGTAGCTAAACTTCTCACACACTGCTTGTAGAGGCAGGCTTCAAAAACTCTGGCAATTTTAAAAATAAACTAAGCATAGATACAACCTATAAGCCAACAATTTGAATCCCAGCTATGTACGCAAGAGAAATAAAAACATCAATGCATGCAAGACTTAGGCAAGAAAGTTTATGGAAGCCTTATTCTTAACAGCCCCAAACGGAAAACAACTATCAGGAGGTATTTGAATCAACAAATTGCAGCATATTCACACAATGAAATATTCATCAACAACAAAAATGAATGGCCTACTGATACATATGACAATATAAATAAATCTAAAAAATATCAGACACTAAAGAATACATACATACCATCAGAAGGAATTGCCTTTGTGGGGTCTGGGATGACACTGAATGAAAGGGGCATGAAGAATCTCTCTGGGAAGTTAGAATATTTCTATATCTTGTTTTAGGTAGCAGTTACATAGGTATAGGCAATAGTCAAAACTTACCAAGCTTCAAACTAATACTGTATTTTTGAAAATTTTTGTATTGTATTTTTGTATTGTATTTTGTGTGGTGTTTTTGAAAAAAAGACCTTATTCTGAAAAAGGTCTTCAGAAGCCACAGTAAGAACCCTCCTAAAATATCTCCACTCAGTTACAGTGAACAATTCAGGAGAACGAAGAGGAAGGCCAATTTTAATTTCTTCATGCTGGAAGAGCATCATTACGACAAGTTTTCAAGTTGGAGTGTAAAATATGTTCTATCCCTTACTCAATTTTTTAGTCCATTGGATAGTGAAGCCATGCATTTTCCTCTCCTGAAATAACTGTTGGAAGTCAGAGATCAAAATTCTCTAATGTGAAAAATGCAGATGAGGATTTAGAAGGCTTGGACATTCAAGTTCCAAGTCAGCAATGGTACAGGTGACTTTGGGCAAGTCCATGAACCATCTGGAGCTCAGTTTTCCACTGTAGGTCATATGTGTGTGAGGCAGGTGAGGGGAGGGGGAGTTGTACCACCTAGTGATGGACAAAGATTTGTGATGGCAATATAATGAGAGAGGGAAGTTCAAAGAGGAGAGTTTGAGCTTTCAAATGCCCTGAGAGACAGAAAGTATTTTCTTTTAATTCTAAGATATATTAAGGCACTACCTAGCTAAACAGCATCTTTGGGATGCTCTGAAATTAGTAACCTGGAATTAAACTTCCCAGTGAGGGCTGAATGTATGGGACTGAGATGCTAGAGGCTGAAATATCAGAAGACACCTCCCAGTGGGAAAGTCAAGAAAGATAAATATATAAATAAAACCTCTAAATACCAAGAATAACATCGATAGCTGAACATTTAGAGTCAAGCCAACAGAGTTTGAAATACCCATGTGCATATTTAGTATGCATATACTACATATTAGTGATACACATAGGCATGCACACACTTTGTAAATATGAACTCTATAGTCCTATGTTAAAAGTGTTTGAAAATTGGAGTCAGAATAGGACCAATTTAGTATACTAGATATTCATGGCTGTGTTTGACAGAATAGGTCACACATGTAGGAAAAGCTTCTTTAAAATAACGTGAAGGAATAATATTTTAAAGTACTAATTAGTGTGATTTAAATTTCACACCTATTAATAGTATTTTCCTGGGTCTTCAACATAATTACTAGTATATATCTATTAAAAGATGGATTTCAATACTATCCCTTTGTATAACTTGTTTTAAGAACCTTTAAGTAAGTCTAAACAGCATTTTACTTTGAGAATATTCTTCACTGGAAAACTGAATGTGTTATTTTGGATGTATCATTAGTTTCCTCAACCAAAATTTTTTACCATTCTTTATTATGTATTGAGGGAAGTTTTTAAAGGCTATTACAAAACCGACTCACATTCCATCGGGTGTCACAAGTTTATGAAGATATTATCACCACACCAGGAAGTATTCATGATTTGTTTCAGAACATTGAATAAGGTACCATGTTCAAATACTGCTAAAGAAAGTGTAATACAAACGTTTATGTGCATGATGCTTAACAAAGACCTGAAAAACAAAGACCTGAAAATTATAGGCATGTAATTAGAATTTCTCAATAATTTGTCAGATGATAGGGCGGGAATTATTGCACTCATTTGACTGATAAGGAAACTGAGGCTCAGAGGTTTGGTAACTTAACCAATGAAACCCATGTACTAATAGGCATGATACAAACTTGACCTTGGTCTTCTGATTTAGATAAGGACTTTTCACAGCCCCAATGGCCTTTCTGACTTGCACTTTAATTTTAGAATTGTATATACTTTTTGCTATAAAAGCCACAGAGCTTATCTTCCACATGAAAAGTAACAATGACTCATGTCCTTGATTTCAAGCTGCTAACCTTTAGCAGGATAGGAAAAGGGACTTCAGAATTTAAGACAAAGAGACCTGGAGGGGAAAGTAGACTCAATACAAATAAGCCTAGTTATCCCTAGCTCATACTCTTTTAAAATAGATCAGCCAAAGGGAATTCTGGGGGAAAAAAGGAGAAACCATCACTCAAAGGAGATAATAATCTTAATTGAAACCAGAAAGCCTTCAGACCTCCTTGTGTATAAATGTATGTGCTGTAATAGTGAACATTTAAAATCCCTACTGGATTTTTAACATTCTGGACGTGTTTAATCTTTTTTTTCTTCTTTTTTCCTAATTGGAGGTGGATAGGGAGGAGGAAGTTCAGGAAAATCAGAATCCCTGAACCATTCTCTGCTTCCTGAAAGTTCTTTCTATGGTGCTCCACTGGGCTGTCTGGAATCCAGGATCTTGGGGGAATAACAATGATGTGGCACTCTAAAGGAAAAAAAGAAAATAAAGAAATAAGAACTTGGTATTCTTAAGGAAACATGCTGTAGTGACAGGTATCCATGGGTTCCCTTGGAGAGCGGAAATGAAGTTGGTTAAAATTCTGCATCTGAACACACTAAAGATAGAGACAGTCACATGAGAATGTGGAGCAGAGATTTTTCTGCTATAATTCAGCTCACAACATCTTTTGAATAAACAATGAAAATATACAAATATAATAGAGACATCCTATGATATTGTCATAGAAGAAATACATATTCTGTTTCTGTCCTTGGTTCCTGGCAGAAAATTCATAAAACCCTTGGAATTTCCCTATAGGGGTGAGAGGGGCATTTTTTGCTATGCATAATAAGCCCCAATCAACTACACCTGAGTTTATGCTAATGAGGTGACTCTTAGGGGATGGGACTGGTTGCTTGAGGAAACAACCATGTGACAAGAGGGTTGGAACTTTCAGCCCTAACCCTTGACCTCTGGGAAGGGGAAGACAGGCTGGAGATTAGCTTTAATCACCAATAGCCAATTATTTTTTTCTTTTTTTTTCTTTTTTTATTATTATTATACTTTAAGTTTTAGGGTACATGTGCACAATGTGCAAGTTAGTTACATATGTATACATGTGCCATGCTGGTGAGCTGCACCCACTAACACATCATCTGGCATTAGGTATATCTCCCAATGCTATCCCTCCCACCTCCCCCCACCCCACCACAGTCCCCAGAGTGTGATGTTCCCCTTCCTGTGTCCATGTGTTCTCATTGTTCAATTCCAACCTATGAGTGAGAATATGCGGTGTTTGGTTTTTTGTTCTTGTGATAGTTTAGTTTACTGAGAATGATGATTTCCAATTTCATCCATGTCCCTACAAAGGACATGAACTCATCCTTTTTTATGGCTGCATAGTATTCCATGGTGTATATGTGCCACATTTTCTTAATCCAGTCTATCAATCATTGTTGGACATTTGGGTTGGTTCCAAGTCTTTGCTATTGTGAATAATGCCGCAATAAACATACGTGTGCATGTGTCTTTACAGCAGCATGATTTATAGTCATTTGGGTATATACCCAGTAATGGGATGGCTGGGTCAAATGGTATTTCTAGTTCTAGATCCCTGAGGAATCGCCACATTAACTTCCACAATGGTTGAACTAGTTTACAGTCCCACCAACAGTGTAAAAGTGTTCCTATTTCTCCATATCCTCTCCAGCACCTGTTGTTTCCTGACTTTTTAATGATTGCCATTCTAACTGCTGTGAGATGGTATCTCATTATGGTTTTGATTTGCATTTCTCTGATGGCTAGTGATGGTGAGCATTTTTTCATGTGTTTTTTGGCTGCATAAATGTCTTCTTTTGAGAAGTGTCTGTTCATGTCCTTTGCCCACTTTTTGATGGGGTTGTTTGTTTTTTTCTTGTAAATTTGTTTGAGTTCATTGTAGATTCTGGATATTAGCCCTTTGTCAGATGAGTAGATTGTGAAAATTTTCTGCCATTTTGTAGGTTGCCTGTTCACTCTGACAGTGGTTTCTTTTGCTGTGCAGAAGCTCTTTAGTTTAATTAGATCCCATTTGTCAATTTTGGCTTTGGTTGCCATTGCTTTTGGTGTTTTAGACATGAAGTCCTTACCCATGCCTATGTCCTGAATGGTAATGCCTAGGTTTTCTTCTAGGGTTTTTATGGTTTTAGGTCTAACATTTAAGTCTTTAATCCATCTTGAATTAATTTTTGTATAAGGTGTAAGGAAGGGATCCAGTTTCAGCTTTCTACATATGGTTAGCCAGTTTTCCCAGCACCATTTATTAAATAGGGAATCCTTTCCCCATTGCTTGTTTTTCTCAGGTTTGTCAAAGATCAGATAGTTGTAGATATGCGGCATTATTTCTGAGGGCTCTGTTCTGTTCCATTGATCTATATCTCTGTTGTGGTACCAGTACCATGCTGTTTTGGTTACTGTAGCCTTTTAGTATAGTTTGAAGTCAGGTAGTGTAATGCCTCCAGCTTTGTTCTTTTGGCTTAGGATTGACTTGGCAATGTGGGCTCTTTTTTGGTTCCATATGAACTTTAAAATACTTTTTTCCAATTGTGTGAAGAAAGTCATTGGTAGCTTGGTAGGGATGGCATTGAATCTGTAAATTACCTTGGGCAGTATGGCCATTTTCATGACATTGATTCTTCCTACCCATGAGCATGGAATGTTCTTCCATTTGTTTGTATCCTCTTTTATTTCCTTGAGCAGTGGTTTGTAGTTCTCCTTGAAGAGGTCCTTCACATCCCTTGTAAGTTGGATTCCTAGGTATTTTATTCTCTTTGAAGCAGTTGTGAATGCGATTTCACTCATGATTTGGCTGTTTGTCTGTTGTTGGTGTATAAGAATGCTTGTGATTTTTGTACGTTGATTTTATATCCTGGGACTTTGCTGAAGTTGCTTATCAGCTTAAGTAGATTTTGGGCTGAGACAATGGGGTTTTCTAGATATACAATCATGTCATCTGCAAACAGGGACAATTTGACTTCCTCTTTTCCTAATTGAATGCCCTTTATTTCCTTCTCCTGCCTAATTGCCCTGGCCAGAACTTCCAACATTATGTTGAATAGGAGTGGTGAGAGAGGGCATCCCTGTCTTGTGCCAGTTTTCAAAGGGAATGCTTCCAGCTTTTGCCCATTCAGTATTATATTGGCTGTGGGTTTTTCATAGATAGCTCTTATTATTTTGAGATACGTCCCATCGATACCTAATTGATAGAGAGTTTTTAGCATGAAGGGTTGTTGAATTTTGTCAAAGGCCTTTTCTGCATCTATTGAGATAATCATGTGGTTTTTGTCTTTGGTTCTGTTTATATGCTGGATTACATTTATTGATTTGTGTATATTGAACCAGCCTTGCATCCCAGGGATGAAGCCCACTTGATCATGGTGGATAAGCTTTTTGATGTGCTGCTGGATTTGGTTTCCCAGTATTTTATTGAGGATTTTTGCATCAATGTTCATCAAGGATATTGGTCTAAAATTCTCATTTCTGGTTGTGTCTCTGCCCGGCTTTGGTATCAGGATGATGTTGGCCTCATAAAATGAGTTAGGGAGGATTCCCTCTTTTTCTATTGATTGGTATAGTTTCAGAAGGAATGGTACCAGTTCCTCCTTGTACCTGTGGTAGAATTCGGCTGTGAATCCATCTGGTCCTGGACTCTTTTTGGTTGGTAAGCTATTGATTATTGCCACAATTTCAGCTCCTGTTATTGGTCTATTCAGAGATTGAACTTCTTCCTGGTTTAGTCTTGGGAGAGTGTATGTGTTGAGGAATTTATCCATTTCTTCTAGATTTTCTAGTTTATTTGCTTAGAGGTGTTTGTAGTATTCTCTGATGGTAGTTTGTATTTCTGTGGGATCGGTGGTGATATCCCCTTTATCATTTTTTATTGTGTCTATTTGATTCTTCTCTCTTTTTTTCTTTATTAGTCTTGCTAGCAGTCTATCAATTTTGTTGATCCTTTCAAAAAACCAGTTCCTGGATTCATTAATTTTTTGAAGGGTTTTTTGTGTCTCCATTTCCTTCAGTTCTGCTCTGATCTTAGTTATTTCTTGCCTTCTGCTAGCTTTTGAATGTGTTTGCTCTTGCTTTTCTAGTTCTTTTAATTGTGATGTTAGGGTGTCAATTTTGGATCTTTACTGCTTTCTCTTGTAGGCATTTAGTGCTATAAATTTCCCTCTACACACTGCTTTGAATGTGTCCCAGAGATTCTGGTGTGTTGTGTCTTTGTTCTTGTTGGTTTCAAAGAACATCTTTATTTCTGCCTTCATTTCGTTATGTACCCAGTAGTCATTCAGGAGCAGGTTGTTCAGTTTCCATGTAGTTGAGCAGTTTTGAGTGAGATTCTTAATGCTGAGTTCTAGTTTGATTGCACTGTGGTCTGAGAGACAGTTTGTTATAATTTCTGTTCTTTTACATTTGCTGAGGACAGCTTTACTTCCAAGTACATGGTCAGTTTTGGAATAGGTGTGGTGTGGTGATGAAAAAAATGTATATTCTGTTGATTTGGGGTGGAGAGTTCTGTAGATGTCTATTAGGTCTACTTGGTGCAGAGCTGAGTTCAATTCCTGGGTATCCTTGTTGACTTTCTGTCTCATTGATCTGTCTAATTTTGACAGTGGGGTGTTAAAGTCTCCCATTATTAATGTGTGGGAGTCTACGTCTCTTTGTAGGTCACTCAGGACTTGCTTTATGAATCTGGGTCCTCCTGTATTGGGTGCATGTATATTTAGGATAGTTAGCTCTTCTTGTTGAATTGATCCCTTTACCATTATGTAATGGCCTTCTTTGTCTCTTTTGATCTTTGTTGGTTTAAAGTCTGTTTTATCAGAGACTAGGATTGCAAACCCTGCCTTTTTTTGTTTTCCATTTGCTTGGTAGATCTTCCTCCATCCTTTTATTTTGAGCCTATGTGTGTCTCTGCATGTGAGATGGGTTTCCTGAATACAGCACACTGATGGGTCTTGACTCTTTATCCAATTTGCCAGTCTGTGTCTTTTAATTGGAGCATTTAGCCCGTTTACATTTAAAGTTAATATTATTATGTGTGAATTTGGGTCATTATGATGTTAGCTGGTTATTTTGCTCGTTAGTTCCTGCAGTTTCTTCCTATTCTCGATGGTCTTTACATTTTGGCATGATTTTGCAGCGGCTGGCACCGATTGTTCCTTTCCATGTTTAGCACTTCCTTCAGGAGGTCTTTTAGGGCAGGCCTGGTGGTGACAAAATCTCTCAGCATTTGCTTGTCTGTAAAGTATTCTATTTCTCCTTCACTTATGAAGCTTAGTTAGCCTGGATATGAAATTCTGGGTTGAAAATTCTTTTCTTTAAGAATGTTGAATATTGGCCCCCACTCTCTTCTGGCTTGTAGAGTTTCTGCCAAGAGATCCACTGTTAGTCTGATGGGCTTCCCTTTGTGGGTAACCTGACCTTTCTTTCTGGCTGTCCTTAATATTTTTTCCTTCATTTCAACTTTGGTGAATCTGACAATTATGTGTCTTGGAGTTGCTCTTCTCGAGGAGTATCTCTGTGGCGTTCTCTGTATTTCCTGAATCTGAATGTTGGCCTGCCTTGCTAGATTGGGGAAGTTCTCCTGGATATTATCCTGCAGAGTGTTTTCCAACTTGGTTCCATTCTCCCCATCGCTTTCAGGTACACCAATCAGACATAGATTTGGTCTTTTCACATAGTCCCATATTTCTTGGAGGCTTTGCTCGTTTCTTTTTATTCTTTTTTCTCTAAACTTCCCTTCTCGCTTCATTTCATTCACTTCATCTTCCATCGCTGATACTCTTTCTTCCAGTTGATCGCATCGGCTCCTGAGGCTTCTGCATTCTTCACGTAGTTCTCGAGCCTTGGTTTTCAGCTCCATCAGCTCCTTTAAGCACTTCTCTGTATTGGTTATTCTAGTTATACATTCTTCTAAATTTTTTTCAAAGTTTTCAACTTCTTTGCCTTTGGTTTGAATGTCCTCCCGTAGCTCAGAGTAATTTGATCGTCTGAAGCCTTCTTCTCTCAGCTCGTCAAAGTCATTCTCCATCCAGCTTTGCTCCGTTGCTGGTGAGGAACTGTGTTCCTTTGGAGGAGGAGAGGCGCTCTGCTTTTTAGAGTTTCCAGTTTTTCTGCTCTGTTTTTTCCCCATCTTTGTGGTTTTATCTACTTTTGGTCTTTGATGATGGTGACGTACAGATGGGTTTTCGGTGTGGATGTCCATTCTGTTTGTTAGTTTTCCTTCTAACAGACAGGACCCTCAGCTGCAGGTCTGTTGGAGTACCTGGCCTTGTGAGGTGTCAGTCTGCCCCTGCTGCGGGGGGTGCCTCCCAATTAGGCTGCTCAGGGGTCAGGGACCCACTTGAGGAGGCAGTCTGCCCGTTCTCAGATCTCCAGCTGCATGGTGGGAGAACCACTGCTCTCTTCAAAGCTGTCAGACTGGGACATTTAAGTCTGCAGAGGTTATTGCTGTCTTTTCGTCTGTCTGTGCCCTGCCCCCAGAGGTGGAGCCTACAGAGGCAGGCAGGCCTCCTTGAGCTGTGGTGGGCTTCACCCTGTTCGAGCTTCCTGGCTGCTTTGTTTACCTAAGCAAGCCTGGGCAATGGCAGGCGCCCCTCCCCAGCCTTGCTGCCGCGTTGCAGTTTGATCTCAGACTGCTGTGCTAGCAATCAGCGAGACTCCGTGGGCGTAGGACCCTCTGAGCCAGGTGCAGGATAAAATCTCCTGGTGTGCTGTTTTTTAAGCCTGTCGGAAAAGCGCAGTATTTGGGTGGGAGTGACCCGATTTTCCAGGTGCCGTCTGTCACCCCTTTCTTTGACTCGGAAAGGGAACTCCCTGACCCCTTGCGCTTCCCGAGTGAGGCAATGCCTCGCCCTGCTTTGGCTGGCGCACGGTGCGTGCACCCACTGACCTGCGCCCACTGTCTGGCACTCCCTAGTGAGATGAACCCGGTACCTCATATGGAAATGCAGAAATCACCTGTCTTCTGCGTCGCTCATGCTGGGAGCTGTAGACCAGAGCTGTTCCTATTCGGCCATCTTGGCTCCTCCTCAAAACTATAGCCAATTATTTAATCAGTAATTCTTATGTAATGAAGTCTCCATCAAAACTGTAATGGAAAGGATTCAGAGAGCTTCTGGGTGGCCAAACACATAGAGGTGCTGGAAGGGCAACATGCTTGGAGAGAGCATGTGGAAGCTCCACGTTGCCCCTGTACCTTGCACTGTGCGTCTTTTCCATTTGGGAAAGATGTATCCTGAGTTGTATCTTTTTATGATAAACAGGTAAATATAAGTAAATATTTCCCTGAATTATTTGAGCCATTCTATCAAATTACTGAACCCAAGGAGTCATGGATATTCCTGACTTATAGCTGGTGGGTCATAAGTACAAGAGGTCCAGACTTTCAACTGGCATCTGAAGTTGGGGGTAAGTCTTGTGCCACTGAGCTCTTAGCTTGTGGAGTCTATACAAACTATGTGCATTTAATGTCAGAATTGAGTTAAATTGTCCACCAAACATTGGAGAATTGGTTGGTGTGGGAAAAACCACCAGACATTTGGTGTCAGAAGGGTTCTGTGTGAGTGTAGAGAAAAATTTATTTATTTTATATATCATTAAATAGAGCCAATCCATGAAGACTCCCATTCTCTTGTGTGCTTGAGCATCTTTTTAAAAAGAAATATCTCCAGGGCAAAACCAAGTTAAGGAAAGTTATTGGTACGACCCTCCAGCCACAGGTATAGAAGGCAGGCACAGCTCAGGTGAGAAATATATTGTCTCTGATTGTTTTCTTTAAAATTGTAGTCATCACTCATCGCTCTTAACCACTCTATAAGAGAGGGCAGGATGTAGGGTCCTTGGCTCTTAAAAACAAAAACAAACAAACAAACAGGGACTTCTAATTTTAGCTCTGACATATCCCATTTTACAACAAAAAAAATCTAGGTAAGTTAAACACTAATGACTTTTCTTATACCCATCAGAGGAATGAGTTTTCAAGCCTAACCTCCAGCCTGAAATCTGAAGAACCATATAAATTCAGAGTTACAGGTGAAATCTGTTTATGTAGAGCAGAAACCACTAAGGATATAAAATGATAGAAACACTTAAATAATAATTTTGATGAATTGCTGGAGAGGGTGTGTGTACTAGTTTGAATGAAGCTCATACTTCATTCTGGGGCTATAGTCCTAGGGAGGCTCCCACACTTCTGTAGGATTTACCTCCAGCAACATCCAGGAATCTTCACATGCTGAAGACCAGAGAAAGATACTTTCCTGGCACTAGTAGGAGGAGTTAAAGGGTAATCCTTTTGAAATATGCCCAGAGCCTTCCCTATAATAAAGACCCAGGGAATAAGAATTTACCAGAACCTTGTCCCAAGGAATAAGGAAAGAACATTCCTCCAACTCCAGTCCCCTCTAGCCTGTATTTCACACCAAAAGTGGGAGGTTGGAGAGGTTGGCCCTAAAAGAAGAAATACTTCTGAACTTCTGAAGATCACAGTTCAGAGAAGCAAGGCCAGTAAAAGAATTAGATTTAATTAGAATTTTGTAGAACACTCCTCTTGTTTTATGCCTTAACACCACATCAAAATGGAGAATAGGTTTACAGATTACAGCTGAAAAAACTGCAAGATGCAGACCCTCTCTGAGGAAGCCAATGTGAAAAGAGAAGACAAATCAAGGACACTGGAGAATTTAAAGCCTCTGGTACCTATAATGACAATAAGCATCAAACAAAACCTAAACTCCTAGTCAAATTAACATAAAACCTTATACTAAGGGCTTATATATCTCAATTCCTATGACCAATATCATATCAAGCTTCCAACAAAATATTACAGTTTGAAGAGGTTGGTACATCAGAACCAGTCGATATGACAAAGATGCTGGAATTATAGAAAATGTAAGATAATTATAATTGATATGGTAATGGTTCTCATGGGAAAAGTAGAGTGCTTGAGAAAACAAATAGATAAACTATGAAGAGAGATGGAAACTCCGAGAATAAAATGAAAGAAAGAAGTAGACATGAAAAATACTGTAATAGAAATAAATAATGTTTATAATGAGCTCATTGGTAAACTGATCACAGTTTAGTGAAGAATCAGTGAGTTTGATGATAGGAGCTTCACAAACTGAAATAGAAAGAGAAAAAATAGTTTTAAAAAAGGACAGACCATTCAATGACTGTACAATTATTTCAAAACATGTGACACACATAAGTGCAATACCAGAAGAAAGAGAGAATAGAGTACAAACAACGTATACAGTAACACTGGTGGAGAATTTTCCAAAATTAATAACAGCCACTAAATCACAGACCCAAGAAGATGAGAGAACACCAAATAGAATGAATACCAAAGGAAATACATTTATACATATCTTATTTAAACTTCAGACAAACAAAAGAAAAGAGAATATCTTTAAAGTAGCCAGGGGAAAAGGATGGTCCTTGGGTGGTTGAGGGGAGACACATTACCTTTAGGGAGCATAGATAAGGATTACAGCATACTTTCTCAAGAGAAACCAGGCAAGCAAGAAGAGACTGGAGTAAAAACAATGTAAGGTATTGAAAGGAAAAAACAACTATCAGACTAGATTTCAATATCCAGTGAAATTATCTTTCAAGTGCAAAGGAGAAATAAAGACATTATCAAACAAAGAAAAACACTGAGGGAATTCATTGCCAGCAGCTCTGCCCTGCAAGCTGTATTAAACATTTTCTTTAGGCAGGTAGCAAATGGCAAGAAACTTGGATCCACATTTTAAAATGAAATAGTATCAGAGAAGTAATAAATAAGAGGCTGGGTGCGGTGGCTCACGCTTGTAATCCTAGCACTTTGGGAGGCTGAGGCAGGAGGATCACCTGAGTTTGAGAGTTCAAGACCAGCCTGACCAACATGGAGAAACTATGTCTCTACTAAAAATGCAAAATTAGCCAGGTGTGGTGGCGCATGCCTGTAATCCCAGCTACTTGGGAGGCTGAGGCAGGAGAATCGTTTGAACCCAGGAAGCAGAGGTTGTGGTGAGCTGAGATCACACCATTGCAATCCAGCCTGGGCAACAAGAGCAAAACTCCATCTCAGAAATAAATAAATAATATATATAAAATTACTATTTATTTAAAGTAATAATAGTAACAGTGTTAATAAGTCAAAAAATGACAGTAATGACTGACATAAGAAATTAGAGGAAGGAATTAGGAATATTCTGTTTTAGTTACCTGAACTACAGGTGAAATTGAATTTTGTAATTTAAATGTGGGCTTAAATTAGTTAGAATGTATATTGTAAACTATAGTTCAGTGTTTAAACAGATTTTTTAAAGAAGCGTAATGAATACATTAAGAGAGGAGATAAAATTGAATCGTATAAAATGCTCAATTAAAACCAGAAAGTAAAAAAAAAAAATTCACTGGCGATAAGAACAAAAAAGGGTTTAAATCACAGCTTATATTACTCCAAGTATATCAGTAATTACTTAAAAAATCGATGGTCTAAATGCACCAATTCAAAGATGGAGACTGTAAGAGTAAATAGAAAAATAAGAGCCAAATATATTTTGTATACAAATAACTAATTAATTTTAAATATAAAGATTCTAATAGATTAAAATTAAAGAGATGGAGAAATATATACCATGGTAACACTAACCAAAATAAAGTTGAAATTGCTATATTAATTTCAGACAAAAGGGATTTTGCAAAGAAAGAACAATTATTAGAAATAAAAGACATTAAATAATGATAAAGAAGTAAATTGAGCAAAAATAACAATGCTAAAAGTATGTGTACCTAACAATAGAGTCAAAATACATAAGACAAAAAAATGGTATAACTTGCAACTTGAAATAAATATATCTACTATTATAGTTGGAGGCTGCAGTACTGCTCTTTGAATAACTGATATCTCAAGCAGGCAGAGAATCAGAAAAATATTGAATAATAGTATCAACCAACTTGATCTAATTTACACTTATAGATTACTCCATCCAGAGATAGCAAAATACATACTTTCTCAAGCTGATATGGATCTGTCACCAAGATATATCACATTCTGTGTCATAAAACAAACCACAACAAATTTAAAAAATTAGAAATTTAACAAAACATGTCCTCAAACTCCCAATAAAATTAAACCAGAAATCAATAAAGATAGTTGAAAAATTAAACAATAGATTTCTTAATAACGTATAATCAAAAGAAGTCTTAAGAGAAATATGCAGATGTTTTCAACTAATAGAAATGAAGATACAACTTATACAAGTTGTTGAATGCAGCAAAAACAATATCTACAGGAAGATATGTATCATGAAATACATATATGAGAAAAGAAAAATGATCTAACATTGATAATTTTTCAGCTTAGAAAATAAAAGAAATCGAACATTTTTAACTAAAGAAAACAGAAGAAAAAGAATAATATAATTAATCACAATAATCAGATAAATTGAAGGCAGGACATCAATGAAGAATATCAATAAACCAAAATGGGGTTATTTGAAGAAAGCAATAAAACTGATATACTTCTCACCAGCCTAGCCAATAAACAAGAATAATTACCAATATTATAAGTGAAAGAGAGATCATGAATATTGGTCCCATGGGCATTAAAAGAACATAAAGAAATGCTATGAACATGTAAACACACATAAAAACAAATTTGATAACTTACATGAAATAGATTAACTTTCTGAAGGACACAAACAGTACAAATTTACACAAAGAGAAGTAAGTTACCTGACCACTCATGTGTCTAAACAAATAGAATCAATTAACAACCTTCCAAAATAGAAATCACCAGGTCCACATGATTTCACTGCTAAATTACATGAACTATAAGAGGAAGAAATTATACCAATTCTTCACAATCTCTCACAGAAAACAGATGAGGGAAAACTTCCTAACTTACTCTGTAAGACCAACATTACTCTAATACCAAAACTAGGTAAAGACTCACAAAAAGGAAATCAAAGCCCAATATTCTTCACTAATATGGATGCAAAAATTTTAAGCAAAACATTAAGAAATTAAATTCAACAATCTATGAGAAAAATTATATGCCACAATGATGTGAGATTTATTCTGGGTCAGTTATGCAAGGCTGGTTCAGCAGCAGAAAATCAATTAATGTAATCCTCATCAACAGACTGAGGAAGAAAAACACCAATCATGTCAATGGATGCAGAAAGAGAATTTGACAAACTCTACTACTCACACATGGTAAAAACCATGGGCAAACCAGGAATAGAGGAGAACTTCCCCAATTTGAAAAAAAAATATCTACAACAAAACCCATAGAACTAACATTATACTTAATGGTGAGACACTAGACACTTTCTCCTCAGTATCAGGAATAAGGATGTCCTCTCTCACCAGCCTATTCAGTATTGTGCTGGAAGTTCTAGCTGATACAACATGATTAAAAAAAAAATAAAAGGAATGCAATTTGAGAAGAAAAATAATAAAACTCTCTATTTACAGATTATATGATTCTGTAGAGAACCCCGAATAATCAACAAAACAATTCCTGGAACTAATGAGAGAGTGTTGCAGCGTTGCAGGACCCATGGTTAATATACAAATGTCAATTGCTTTTCTTTATATCAGCAATGAACCATCAGAATTGGAAAATTTAAAAAAAAAATGTCATTTACAATAGCATTCCCAGTACCTACATCTAAATATCTAACTAAATATGTACAGAACCTATATGCTGGCAAGTACAAAATACAGATAAAAAATAAGAGAAAATCTAAATAAATGGTACATACACAAAACGAACTAGTATTCAGTGATAAAAATAAGTGAACTACTAAACCATGAGGAGACACAAATGAATCTTATTCCACATTGCTAAATAAAATAAACTAGTCTGAAATAGCTAATACTGTATAATTCTGATTATATGACAGAATTATTATCTGTTGTAGTGCCAGGTAATAATAAAGTTCTAAAAACAAAACAAACAGAAGAACTCCACAATGATCAGATGTCAAAAGAATACAAGAGTCAACTGAAAAAGCTTCAAATGACCACAACAGCGACAATTTGAGTAGCAAAATAAAATTCAATTATTATAACCCGAAGTATAAAATAAATATTCATGAGCTCATACTGTTGTAAATAAACAACTTAATACATTGTGAGAATTTAAAAAATCTCATCTGCAAAAGAATTCCAAAGTCACTATACCCTTCCAACATTTAAGGAATGGGGAGTTACATACATATTATGTAAGGTATAGTGACTTTCATCCAAAAGGTACAGTATAGAATATAAGAATAAAGACAGAAGAGAAAACTGACAAACACTAAGTCAAGTCTGGGGATCAAGGTTAACAACAAAAGTGATAAGTTGTATAAATAATATACATCCTAGATATGATGTGATGAAAATGACACTTGCCTCTGTGGTCTTCCTCCCAAAACCACATTACTGGAGTGGTCTAATTATAAAACATAATAAACAAACAAACAAACAAATAAGTAAGTAAAAGCATATATCAGAGACAATTTTCAATTCAAAGACATTCTACAGAATCTCAGAGCAATAATCTTCAAAGCTTTCAAGGTCACTAAAAACAAGCAACATCTGAGAAAGCATCACACTCAAGAAGAGCTGAAACCAAAATGGCTATTAGACGTAATGTGGTGTTATGGATCGGATCATGGAACAGAGAAAGGACATCAGAGAAAAAATCTGAGGAAATCTGAATAAAGTATGAACTTCAGTTAGTAAGAATTTATTGTTATTACTTTATTCATTGTGACAAATGTAAAATATTAATAAAGAGGAAATTGAGTTTCGGGGTATACAAGAACTCTCTGTACTATCTTCACAATAATTCTGTAACTATCTGAACTGTTCTAAGATAAGTTTATATTTAAAAAATAAAATACAGTCAGTTCAAATGGATTACATTTCTTTCTTATCATCGTTGTTATGTAATTATAACAGCTTTATGGAAAAGAAACACCTCTCAACACTGTTCCTCAACTATTGCTTCCTGTGGTCTTTGGATAAATAGGTAGCATGTCATTTTAATTCTCTGTCAAACACATCTTATTACATGGTCTTGGTTTGCAGAGAAGAAAATGGCTGTGGGCAACATTTTAAGGTTCTTATAGGGTAGGCCTGACAGGTATATTTTAGAAAGTGAGTAACAGAAGGAGACTTTTCAGATCCCCAAAGATGGGACTTTTATTTTGAAAACAAGGACAAGGATATACAAACAAACAGTCTTCCTCCCAGTGAAACAAAATTATGAAGACAAGAACCTTAACTCAGGTTACCCAACTTTTTATTGTGGAGCTTTTTCCTGTTTTTTTTTTTTTTTTTTCTGTTGTTGTTGTTGTTGTTCATTTTTGTCTATACATTATTTGCATTACTTTAAAATGGTATGTACATTACTGTAAAATTGTTCAAAAATGTAGACCAAGTACCCCGTGACATCATAATATTATACCATCATGCTTCCTGAATGAGACAAGTCAATGTTAGAATTGTTAGATTATCAGTCCAATTCAATATACATTTACTGTGTGTTTGCCAAGACATCGGGTGGACAAGGTCAATATGAAAAGTGGAAGATGCATGAGTAAAGGTAGAACAAGATGTGATGTGTGATATGGCCAAAGCCCATACCATACAGGTAAAGAGGAAAGAGGTGGGGTACCTATACACCTCAAATTGCTCCGTTAGACCCAACATATGCCTATTGACCCTTTATGTCATAAAATATATACCAATCGCATAATACATTATGCAGTTTTTTGTTTCTTTGTTTTTGAGATGGAGTCTCGCTCTGTTGCCCAGGCTGGTGTGCACTGGCGGGATCTCGGCTCACTGCATCCTCCGTCTCCTGGGTTCAAGCGATTCTCCTGCCTCAGCCTCCTGAGTAGCTGGGATTACAGGTGCCGACACCATGCTCACCTAATTTTTGTGTTTTTAGTAGAGACGGGGTTTCACCATGTTGGTCAGGCTGGTCTCAAACACTTGACCTTGTGATCCGCCAGCCTTGGCCTCCCAAAGGGCTGGGATTACAGGCATGAGCCACCGCACCTGGCTGCAGTTGTTCTTTTAAAGGGTGATGAATGCTGTCCTGGAACTACATGAATCAATGTCTGCTCTGAGCCTTATTTCAACCCAACTCATGGGACTCCCTGTTAGCCACTGTAGTTCTGAGTCTTCCTAGTCTCCCACTTCTTTCTTCAGATATGCAATGAAGCATTCCTGCTCTGCTTAACTCTATGTTAGCCAAGTGATCTTGCTCATTACATAGACTACATGTTTGTTTCCGTCCATAAAATAGAGAACACTAGTGTCTTCCTTATGAAGTTTATATGAGAATTAAACTTAAATGTGTCTACCACATAGTAAGAGTTCAATAAATTTAGCTATTATGATTATGTGCACCAAGTTTCTTAAATGAATAAATTCTGGGTTATATTTTTCCTCCCAGTTTTTAACATCTAACTAACTAGTACCATTGCTTTCTGGATTTAACTAAAGCAGAGCAATAGATTTTGAAACGAGATATTTGTTCTATTTGAACAGATATTTGTTCTGTTTGAAGAGATATTTGTTCTATTATTTATTCTCCAGATTTTACTCAGCACCTCCTGTGTGGTAGACACTGTTCTGAGATACTGGACACTTTCTCCTCAGCATCAGGAATAAGGATGCCCTCTCTCACTAGCCTATTCAGTATTGTACTGGAAGTTCTAGCTGGTACAATATGATTTAAAAAAAATAAAAGGAATGCAATTTGAAAAGAAAAATAATAAAACTCTCTATTTACAGACTATATGATTATCTACATAGAGAATCCCAAATAATCAACAAAACAATTCCTGGAACTAATGAGAGAGAGTTGCAGTGTTGCAGGACCCATGGTTAATATACAAATGTCAATTGCTTTTATCAGCAATGAACAATCAGAATTTGAAAATTAAAAAAAAAAAAGCCATTTACAATAGCATTCCCAACAAGGACTCTGCCCTCAGGGAGCATTCTTTAAAATGCAAGAGAGACTCCAAGCTAATTTGAGTTTGTTCATATTAAAATATGGTGTCCCTTAGTGGAGTATCAGGTCCGTGAGTACACAACTCATTAGAACACGGGTGCCTTTCGGTGAGATAAATGGAACCTCTTCTTTTCAAGGTGCAGTCCCATGCTAGACACATGGATTCTCCAACATAACTTGCACTGAATGGAAGCCTTTCTAACAATCTCTATTGAATAATTCTGTGCCAAACTCAATGGTTTTAGACTACCCAGTGTGGGGCTGGGGGAATGAAGTAAGCAGTTGGATATACCGGTTTGGTTTCAAGGGCAAGATCAGGACTAGATAAATATACTTAGGAGTTGCTAAAAAAAAATTAAGTCATAGGACCAGATGGATTGAGAGCACAGAATATGCCCAGGAGTACACTCACACGTAGAGGATCTACAGAGGGGGAGGAGGAGGAGACAGAGAGGAAGATCTGGGAAACTGCCAGCAACAAAGAAAGCTAGAAACCAGATACTAGGGTTGATGGAGAAGGTGTGCAATGATGCTGGAACTATGAACCAGAACCAGGTCAGCCAGTCTTATAGGCACGTTGAGGTATTTGAATGCTATAATGGAGGCAGTAAAGGATAATTAAAAATGTAAGCTCCTGAAAGTATCTTATATTCCCTTAGGTTATCTCTGAAAAAATATTTTGGGAGTCAATGGTGCTTGAACATGTACACCCTTGGTAAACTCAGCTTTACAATTACTAAAACGGGTTACACAAAAACATAATAGACAGGAGTCCTCCTTCCTTCTAGAAAACAGAGATTTGGAGGGATATAGGCTCAAGGGTTGGAGTTCGTCTTCATTGTGAAGTCCACAAGCACAGATAAATGGCAGAGCCATCCCACGATGGGGAGAAACAGTATGGTAACTATGAGCTACAGTGCTTGAGAGAAACCTGAGAGTCAAAAACTACATAGATCACAGGATAGAAAAGCTAATAGTAGCAAAAACAGATCAAAACAAGTGAAAAAATCCAAAGTCAGGAAATGCATTGTATAAAAGGGAGAGCAAGTTGTCAATTAGGAAGTAAAACTTGGGACAAAAACTATGAATAGAAGCCATGCCATAAATAGCTATCGAATGTTGACCAAGTTGCTTCACCTCTCTATCCATTAGTTTTCTCCTCTGTAAAATGTGAAGAATGACTACACCTTACTCATAAGGCTTCTGTGAGGTGTACATGGAATCATGCACATAAAGTACCTAAGAAGATGGTCTGGCACTCAGCAGGTGCACAGAACATGCTAGCTCTTATTATATTTTATAGTTGTTACTTCTGTAGACCTGCTGGTGCATGGTATGGAGAGCTAATTAAATCAGAGAGAATGAGGAATGGGAAAGAATAATTTTAGGCTGGCTGAAAGAGGAAGGTTGAAACCACATTTTAATCCATATGTGTGCATAAACATGCACGTGAGAAACAGAGAAGCACTCCATCACTAAAGCTCCTGGGTTGCTTGTAGATTGCCAGCAGAATCATTTCTCCCTTCCCTAAGAGACTTTCCATGCACAGACGAGCAGTTCTTCATTTATAGAATCAGGCATTAAGTTAGAACATTCAGAGAGTAAGACAAAATCGTCTTCCCTTCCAAACAAAACTGTGCTAATAAACAGGTGCAGAGAGAGTATACACAATACATTCCTCCAAGCAGTCTTTCATGTGCTCAAACTGTCCGCCCTTTCTGTATTTGTTTATGGTGTGTTAACTGTAACTTTGCTTGTTTCTCCCCAGATGTTTGGACATCCATTAATTAGCACATCCTCTACAACATATTTGTGGATGCTTTTCACCAAGTGAAAGGAAAAGCTGGATTCCAGCTGCAAAGAAACTGCAATTAAGAAAACACATACACCACATGCACACACACAAAACAAGATCTCTCTTTAGGACAGCTTCAGAGCAAGACAGGAAGACGGGAAAACATGTGAATACTGAAGAGCAGTGATCCGATGGGGCTCTGGCCTAGCTTAAACATTTGTAAACTCACATCATCAACAAACATGTAGCTAGCCTGTGAGTCCAATGTCAAATTAATGCAGGAAAAAAGAATCTTGCCAGAGTGAAAAAAGAAGGCCTTTACTCTCTAAAATAAGATGCCTCAAAATTAATTCTTTTTCTGGACCTCTCTTTTACTATTTTATTCCTGGTTAAGGAACCATCCAGGTAACTGGTGAATTCAGTGCAAAAAAGGCAATGCTGATTTCTAAATAAACAAATAGACCATTTGGTTAAGAGCGTGTTAAGCTGCATCAGTTTTGTTACTCTGGCACACCTGTCTGAAAAGTACAGAGTAAAAGGTAAAAGGAGAATTGGTTGCCTTTCTGTAGTGACATGCCCAGTCTCCCACCCCATCTCTCACATCTTTCCTGGAAAGCTGTTCTGCCATGGTAGTCACGTTTCCTCCTATTAAATATGATGCCATCGATTCCTTTATGAAACAATGGTGCCAATCTCCCTTGGCTTCTGGAAATCATATACAATTTTCATTTGTCACATTCCACTCACCTCCTTGGAGCCTGCATCGTTTTCTTAAATTTTTTAATATCAAGTCTCCCTTCCTCTAGCCCATGGCACTGCCCTTTTTAATGGCAAAGATGCAAGAGCATGCAAAAATCCAACGGGAAATCTCTCATCTAGCCCAGGAATATGTCCCTCTGGAAAATTAGTAATCTCTATAAAATCTCATTCCCAAATTCCAACAGCTAATTGTGAATTTTGAATTGGTCATTTCACATTTAGCCAAAGTCACAATCTAAGACTGTGATTGACAAACGTTACTTCAGTTTTCATAGGAATTATTTATCCTCATTTTAACATTTTACCTCTGGTTGTATTTCTTAGAAGGAAGCCAGCCAAATGCCCATTGAATCTTAGTAAGATCCATTGTGTATTGACGGTTACAAAGAACTATAATAAAACAAACACCAGGAATAGCTATTTTTTGTGACTGTTTGCAAGTGAAACAGGAGCATGGGGAAATAAGTAATGGTGCTAAGTATATAATCGCTTCCAAATCTCTGCAATAGTAGTGCAAATTTGGTATTATTATTTCCATGAAACAATAAGGAAGCTGAGATTCGGAGAGATTAAGTAACTTCTTCAGAGTCAGAGACCTAGGAATGATATTTGTAGAGCTCTTAGCAGTAGTTCAAAACGTGGGCTTGTGAATCCAAAAATGCCAGGTCGAGTCTTGACTCAAGAAAGAGCAATGGAAGTGGGGGAGACTGGGGCATCAGGCTAAGATGATAGCTCCATTGCACAGCATTATATTCACACAGCAGAGCCCAATGGAGGTGGGTACATACAGAAGGAAGAGGCATGCAGATGTGGTGACTTCAGAGGACCAACCAGACCTGAGGTTCAGAATCCAAGCAGAGAAAGAATAATTATACAGGATTCAACTGTATCAAGCTTCAGCCCTGAAACTTATTTAACAAATGTGAGTCAGCTGCCCCCATTGCTGTGGGTATAGGGTAAACACTAAATCAAGAGCTGAAGAGACAAAGTTGGGAATCTGGCAAGATTGTGATATAAAACTGGGCAGACTCGATAACTCTATTGGGTAGGTCAAAATGACCAATTGCCCATTTCACATATATATTCATCTTAACACATATGTGCACACACACACACCCACCTTATAAGGTAGGCATTATTTTCCCCATGTGATCAACAGGAAAGCAGACAGGCATAAGTATAATTTGCTGCAGTTACAGACCTCAGGAGGGGCATGACTCAGATTTGAAACTAGATATGGCTGACTTCAAATCCCATATCCTTTGCCATGCTGTTAATTAGAGATTACGGTCAATCAGATGATTGTTCACTTGAGGCAAGTGTCAAGAATCAGAAAGACTGAATAGAAGTACAAACAAAGGATATAAGCAAAGAAAATTAAAAAAAAATCCCATGGCCAAGAAGCTATAAAAATATAGTCAACATTACTAATCACCAGGAAAGTAAAACTAAAGCATTAGTGAGACACTATTCCTCACAAGGTTGTCAAAAATTATAGATGTTTGATAACATCAAGTTTTGATAAGAGTATGAGAATGTGGATAATCTTGTACACTGCTCATAGGAGTATCAATTTACACAGCTGTTTTGGTGGGCAATTTGGCAATATCCTTTAAAATTTAAATAATCTTAATTTATCAACTTCACTCTTTGGTATATGTCCAAGAAGTATTTGTTCACAAAGATGTACACATACACACCGCAATATTTATACAAGGATGCTGACCGCAGCCTTGTCTGTAATCACAAAAAATTCAAAATCAATCAAAATGTCCAAATAGAGGAAATAAATACAAATTATAGTTGAGTACACTCCTATAGCTTAAAATTGAGTTAGATTAATGTGCACTGGTGTGGGAAATATATATTGTTAAAAAGATATATTATCAAATTCAAAAAAATATTAAGCTCTATATGACACTATAATGCTAGACACATATCATTACGTATTTGTCCTATCCTGCAGAATGTAAAACACCAAGAGTGAACCCTAACGTAAACTATGTACTTTGGATGATAATGATGTGTCAGTGTAGATTAATTAATTGTAATAATGTATTATTCTGGGGAGGGATGTTGATTATGGGGGAAGCCATGCACGTGGGAAGGCAGGGGCATATGAAAACTCGCTGTGCCTTTCTCTCATTAATTGTAGTACTGGAAGTCCTTGCCAGAGCAATCAGGCAAGATAAAGAAATAAAAGGCATCCACATGAGAAAAGAGGAAGTCAAATTGTGCCTCTTTGCAGATGACATGCTCTTATATTCAGAAAGATTAAAAGACTCCACCAAAAAACTCTTCGAGCTGATAAATTCAGTAAAGATGCAGGATACAAAATCAATGCATGAAATCAGTAGCATTTCTATACATCAGTAATAAAACACTTGAAAAAGAAATCAAGGAGTTATTCCCATTTCTAGTGGCTACAAAAATACCTAGGAATAAATTTCACTGAGGAGGGGAAAGATCTTCGCAAGGAAAACCAGAAAACATTGATGAAAGAAATTGAAGAGGACACAAGTGGAAAGACAACTCATGCTCTTCAACAGAAGACTCAATATCATATAATGACCACACTGCCCAAAACAGTTACTGCAATGAATCATCTGAGAACCAAGGGTAAAAGACAAGGAGGACAGCTAGCAGTCCCCAACACCTTGCCCCAGGCCAAAGGTGTTCCTGATATCAGGTTGGAAACCCAGCTGTGACAGAATTGTGCTTTTGGAACTGTTTATCCATTTCATTCCTTTCTATTGCCCTGGTGGCAGTGGTGGCAGTGGAGGCAAGGTGATCTTGACCTCAAAGAATACATCAAAGTTATTCTAGAAAAATCAATTGATACCAGCAGAAAACAACCATACATGTTTTGCAGTCACATCACTCTTCAGAATTACCCCAGGACCTGAGAGACCAGGAAAAAGGGGCCAAACAGATGGCTCCAGCTTGGTGTCCCTATAAAAGATGTATTGAGAAAGAGTGTTTGGATTAAAGAGAAACCACAAACCATAGTTTCACAGTCCCTTGCAATTATACTCTTGGGCATAGAGCATAGAATGATGCTTCCAATTCTCGTTGGCATTATGAGCAAGGGTAACCTATGTCCTGGCCCCTTCTTGGTTCCTGAAGAACTGAGGAACAGACTAAACAAGAGATAGACCGTCCTCACACACAGCCAGGAAAAGAGTGTTGTCCCTAGTGGAGACAAGAGAAGGAACAGATCCTGCTTTCTGTCTTTCCTATACATGGGGGGACAAAGTTGCATGGTGAGAGGAGCAACTCTCAAAAGACTCACTAATGAAACCAAACAGTTCTGTTTATCAGAAAAAGAAATAAACATACACAAACAAATGGGACTGTGAACTTCTCCCTCTGATGATTCTGAGATGGGGGAATCCCCAAGCTAGCATAGAGCATGCCTCCAAAGCTCCCTGTGGTTAAACGTGCCAGCTGTAACTAGCCATGGAGCAGAGTAGCACCCCACAACACCCCCTCATAGACAAAGCCAATTACCTCAAAATGATGGAAAATGATTAGGCATGTGAATTAAAAAATAATTTTCATTCACACTCCTAAAAGGGTCAGACTGTCAGCTGTCTGGAAAATTGAGCCTTCATGCATTTTCGTTTGATTTTATATTCAAAGTCTAATTAGTCACAATTTGTAGTTAAAAGTGATTTTTTTGATAATGTAGTTGTTTTTGATCGTGTTTGGCTGCATTATCATGGCAGCGTTATCCTTAATACTGTCACAGGGTGGTGTTTTTTACTCATCTGAGCTAATGAAATAACAAGCTGATGCTTTCTCAAGTGCTGCTGATCAAATCCAGAAAGATCACAAGATGCTTGCGATAGAATGGAGGAGACAACTGTTTCCATGTCTGGATTACATGCTTTTCATGTTAAAAGCAAGCAAACCAACAAACAACGCTTAGGCTATAGGGTCAGAGAAACCTGTGTTCAATCTAAGCTCCATCACTGTGTAACCGTGGGTGACTCACGTTTCCTCTCAGATCATAAGATTCCCCCAATGTAAACATGGAGATAACACTATCTCATGTGTTGTCGGTAAAAATAAACAAGTGTCAAATGCCTAGCAGAGTGCCTGGCCTTCAGGAGGCTGTCAACAGATGTTAGTGAAGAGAAGCTCATTTGTGAGATAATGAATTTATTTTTTCTTAACTTAGGTACGATCTAAATGATAGTATCAAAAATAGCCTATACTTAGAGCTTTAAAATGTAGAGAATTCTTTTATATATTACATTGCTCAAACCTCCTGGTAGTTGATGATACATGTCATCCTGGAGAAATGAAATGAAGTGACTTGTTCAAAATTACACAAGGAGTGAATGGTAAAGCCAGGCCACACATCCTAAATGTTTGCACTAAACTGTTTTTTAAAGAGATGTTAGCACTCTCTGCAATACACAAGTCCTCCACAGAGTGTTGGTTGCCCATGGTAACGGGCCATAGGCAAAAAGCACAATCCACTTTAGTAGTCACTGGTGTTTTCTCTGTTCTGTTGGGAGATCTGAAACCAAACCTCTTTATGTCCGATGAGGGTTTGGAGCAAAGGCCTCAATGCCAATACCCACCCACTAAAACTGGAATAATCTATAAGTCAGTTTATATATCATCCAGTCCTGGTCTTCACAGCCTTAGGAGGAATTTTAATCTATTATTACCTTTTAACTCTGAACTGTTCTCATCCACGCTCTGAGAGAACAGGAGAAATGAATGGAATTCTGCATCTACTGTTAACGTATTGTGGTCATGCTTCACATATACTGATGTGATTGATTATCTTAGGTAAGTGCATGCATTGTCACTTAAAGCAAACTTAAAAAAGTAAAGGTGAATAAAAGCACAGTTTTGATTTGACACAAAAGACAAAATGTCTTAATAGTTCCTGTAAACAGGGAAAGTCCACTCAGTGATGCCAGTCAGAGGAGAAACCACTTAGAAAAGCAACAGTCTGGTGGATTAAAAAACCTTTTTGTCAAATGTAAAGGTCACTGAGGCAGTAAACACCTTAAAAGGAAGACAACAAATTTCACGCATGAGAAGCTCAGCCTAAAACAAGACACATTGACCATATGAATGGATAATCCTATCTAAGTGGAAATGGACTCAGAGACATCATTTGGAGACTTAATGACATTAAAAAAAAAAAAAAAGCCAACATTGGAGAGAACAGGCAAGTTCATGACTCCCCTAGATGCCACACACAGACAAGTGTCCTTGGTAATCTCAGAAAGTTCAGTAAAATCTTCTAGATGACCTGGTCTGAGGCTGTGAGCTAAACCTTGTGGTTTCTAGTTGCACATCATTCTGGTAAAAGGTCCACAAGCCAGAAGCTTCCCTCAGTCACACAGAAAACCCATTCCCTCTCCTTCCTTAATGGGAAATATCAATTCTGG